>NC_000022.11:30224715-30376230 GCF_000001405.40 Homo sapiens
TACTGATTGAGGAACTGAGGCTCAGAGAGGTGGAGTCCCTTGCAAGTGGCTGAAGCCAGAGTTCTCAGCTTCACTATCAGGGGCTCCCATGCCATCCACTGAGTGACCAGAGCAAAGCTGGGCTTGCCCTTTTAACCTGGAAACTGGGGCTTTTCGATGGGAGCCCACCTTCCCGTGAACATGCGTGGGTTGAGTGACTGCCCTCAGGTCAGGATTGAATTAGACTCTGATAATAGAAAGATGGGCCAGGCACAGTGGCTCATGCCTATAACCCCCAGCCCTTGGAAGGCCAAGGCAAGAGGATCGCTTGAGACTAGGAGTTTGAGACCAGCCTGGGCAACAGAGCGAGACCCTGTCTCTAAAATAATTAGCCAGGCATGTGGCACATGCCTGTAGTCCCGATTGCTGGGGAAGCTGAGATGGGAGGATTGCTTGAGCCCAGGAGTTTGAGATTATAGTGAGCTATGATCATTGTACCACTGCACTCCAGCCTGGGTGACAGAGTAAGACTCTATCTCAAAAAGAAAAGAAAAATGGATAAAGACATAGCCCTTAGGACAAAGGGCCAAGAGTTAACTTTACCAGGCAGCTGGAGAGGGGGCAAAAGGAGGTTTTGCTGAGAAGGAAGTGTCCGGGCTGATCTGGAGGCTGCGTAATCAAGTAACAGATGGAGGCAGCAGGGAACAGCATTTCCTCATAGGGAACAGCCTGAGCTAAGTGGAAGAGGCATGAGGAAACATCCCAAAAGATTCCTCCAGCTAACTGCCAAGAGTACTGGTGGGTCATTACAGAATGATGAAGAAGGGAGGGCTGGTGTCCCAGGATCAATATCCCAGAGAAGGAATAAGGGTTCTCCTTCCAGAGCCCGATTTCTAGGTTTCGGGAGCCCTGAGGCTGGCCACGGGAAACGTTTCTGATATTTGTGAGAATCTCTGAATCAGTTCTTGTTGGAGCTGGCAGAGCCCTTTAGGGGTTGTATTAGTTTCCTGTGGTTGCCATAATAAATTACCACAAACTGGGTGGCTTGAAATAACAGACATTTATTCACTCACAGTTCTGGAGGCCAGAAGTCTGAAATCAAGGTGCCAGCAGGGCCACACCCATTTCAAGGCTGTAGGGAAGAATCCTTGCCTGCTTCTTCTAGGTGGTTTCTGGAGGGTGGCTCCAGGTGCCCCGGAGCTTATGGCTGCCTCACCCCAGCCTCTGTCTCTGTCCTCACCTGGCCTTCTCCCCTGCGTGCCTCGAGCCTCTCTCCCTTTCTCTTGTAAGGACACTTGTCATTGTCTTATAAGGACACTTCTGTGGGTTGAGGACCTACATAGATATTCCAGGATGATCTCATCTAGAGATCCTTAACTTAGTTACATCTACAAAGACCCTTTTTCCAAATAAGGTCACATTCACGGGTTCCAGGAGGTAGGTGTATCTTGGAGGCTGGGGAGGGGACATCATTGAACCTACCCGGGGATCAGCCGTTCAACAACCTTATTCTGCCGTTGAGGATGCTGAGGCTCAGGTGGACAAAGGCTCTTGCCCAAAGCCAGCCAGTCAGTGACACAGGGATCCTCAGGTGCCCCAAGAGTCTTGTGCCAACACCACCATTGTCATCGTAGCACAATACGTGCATTGTTTCATACAGGCCAGACATTGTTCTGTGCCGAACCTCTCTCAACTCACAGTAAGCCTGCTCCTCAGAGGAGGAAGACAGGCACAGAGAGCTCTAGGAACTTGCCCAAGGTCACACAGTCAATTTGTGGGTTTATGGTGTCCCCCTGGAAACCCATGTGTCCAGAACAGCCTTGACACATAGGAGTCGGTATATGTTTGTGAGCGCCAGCGTGGCTCTGAGGCCTGGCGGGGAAGAACGGAAGTCTATAGTCCTGCTGGAGAGGCGGACACTCACAGGATCACTTCCTAGACTGTCGGGGAGAGGCCAGCCTGGGAGTGCCTGGGGGATTTTCCCAAGAAAGAGACCTGAGTTGAGTCACATCTAAGGAAGAATAAAACCAGTGAGAGGGAATGCCTGGGATGGGAAGGACTTCCCAGGAAAGCTGGAATGAGCATAGCATGTCCCAGGGACAAAATCAGTTCAGTTTTGCTGGAGCAGAAAGCAGGAAGCCAGGGGAAAATGAGGCTGAGGTTCAAACTTGGTCCTGAAGGTACTAGGGAGCCACGGTTGGTTTAAGCAGGAGCTATGTCAGCCGCTTTGTGTTTTAGGAAGATTGCTCTGGGAGGCCAGGGGTAGGTGAGGCCTCTGCAGGGACCCCTCTGAAGGTGCACCCTGAGTTTATCTCCAACCCCTTGCTTGGCAGGTGTGGGATGAAGCTGCAATTTAGGGCAGGAGGAGCAGTGCCTGGTCAACTCCCCTTCTGTTCCAGAACCCCAAGTCACAGGGGAAACCTGGGGGGATGGAGGAGAAAGGTCTGCAGTCACAATCTAGCCAGCGCCTGCTAGGCAGGTGGCGGCCTGTGAGAAAGCTGCTGAAGATGTTAAAGGAGGCCTGGCGCAGTGGCTCACACCTGTAATCCCAGCACTTTTGGAGGCCAAGGCGGGCAGATCACTTGAGGCCAGGAGTTCGAGACCAGCCTGGCCAACATGGTGAAACGCCATCTCTACTTTAATAAAAAATACAAAAATTAGCCTGGCATGATGGTGCATGCCTGTAGTCCCAGCTACTCGTGAGGCTGAGGCAAGAGAATCACTTGAATCTGGGAGGTGGAGGCTGCAGTGAGCGGAGATAGCACCACTGCCCTCCAGCCTGGGAGACAGAGTGAGATTCTGTCTCAAAAAAAAAAGAAAAAAAGAAAAAAGATGTTAAAGGAGGTGGTTGGGTCAGCTTTTCCCAGTGTCCATGGAATGTGGTCCTGAAAGAGCTGCTGGCAAAGAATCCACAGACATGCTGCATACTCTGTCCCCACCTGACTGCCCTTAAGGCTCTGATAAGTCCTGCAACAAACACTTCTTTTTCATTTTGTTTAACCCACTCTTTCCCAAACTTTTCTGATGCAAAGTCAGGTTTTCTTCTTTGAATGCTGGTGCACTGCCTTGTGAATGGAGAGCAACACAACTCACTTTGGGCAATGCTAGTACAGAGGAAGTACTTTGGGCAATGCTAGTATAGACCAGGAGTGAGGAGGCTTGGGTAGGGAGGTATGTTCTTTGCGAGAGCACCCACCACTTCTCTGGGCCTCCATTTCCTCCTTGCTGCCTCCTATTCAATAGTTATCTTATGTATTACAGTAACCACATAGTGTCTCTGTAGAAGGGATCTTGTGTTTCCACCCTGGGGTTCAGTACCTGGCACAGAGCCAGATGCTGAATGAATACATGAATGAAAGTCTAAAATAAGAACTGCCCGGCCTGGGCAACATAGTGAGACCCCATCTCTACAAATTAAAAAAAAAAAATAGCTGTGTGATACCCGCCTGTGATCTCAGCTACTGGGGAGGCTAAGGCAGAAGGATTGCTTGAGCCTGGAAGATCAAGACTGCAGTGAGTTGTGGCTGGGTGTGGTGGCTCATGCCCGTAATCTCAGCACTTTAGGGGGGCGAAGTGGGCAAATCACTTGAGGTCGGAAGTTTGAGACCAGCCTGGCCAACATGGTGAAACCTCATCTCTACTAAAGATACAAAATTAGCTGGGCGTGTTGGCACATGCCTGTAATCCCAGCTACTTGGGAAGCTGAGGCAGGAGAACTGCTTGAACCTGGGAGGTGGAGGTTGCAGTGAGCCGAAATCGAGCCACTGCATTCCAGCCTGGGCGCCAGGAGTGAGACTCCATCTCAAAAAAAAAAAAAGGAGAGAGACTGCAGTGAGTTGTGATGGTGCCACTGTATTCCAGCCTGGGCATCAGAGTAAGATCCTGCTCCAAAAAAAAAAAAAACAGAACTGCCTCTCCAGTAGAGCTATTATGGAATTAAGTCAACGAATGCCGATGAGATGAGATGAGTTTTATGTTAGTAAATGCCAAAGCCCTATTCACCTGTAAGGGATGACTTTTTAAATATGTGCTGTACTTCAAGGCGCCTTACTCCCCATGTTCCCCGGTGCCTAAAATTCCAGCATTAGTCACTCGTTTGCCGTAGGGCACTGAAGGCCCCAATTAAAATGTAAATGTGTGACCTAGTGGTGTTGCCATGGAGCCACCAGCACCCCTGACAGGGCCTCATGTCATCACTGTTGGCAATTTGTTCACCAGATTAGTCCAGCAGAAAATTGCTGTCGATGAAGGGACTCATCTACAGAGAACCAGAGAACTCCTATGCAGAAGAGAGAAAGTGGAGCAGGAAATGATGCTGGCCGGCATTCGGGGGGGCCTCAGGGCCCATGCATTGACCGCTGTCACCCCACCACCCTCCACTACACGCCTGGGCCGTCACCTACCTCCAAGGGCACCCGGGTCAGGGGCTTAGAGGGGCCCGCCAAGGCCATTCCCTAAGGCTGTGAGGGAAACTCTGGCCCATTTTGCCAAGGGCAACCAGCCATCCAGGGGGTCCGAGCTACACCCTGCAGGAAGCCCACGCAGCACAGCCCTCCAGCTGGGGTCAGGTCCGCCTGGCCAGCTGCGGGTTCGGGACAGGACGCCCCTTCTGGGAACACAGGAAGGAAGGGAGGGCGCTGCTGACCACTGTCAGGATGAGTCCCTTCCTCCCTGCCCCTTTCCTCACCCCTTACCTCCATGGCCCCACCCTCTTCCCCACCAGGTGGCAGCCCCTCCGAGGACCAGAGGGTGAGATGGGAGGCCCCTATCCAAGGGGTCTTACCCTAAAGGGTTTGGGAGAAACGCAGTCTCTTGGCCAGAGCCAACCTATTCCTACCATAAGCAGCCCTGGAAGCCCTAAGGAGGCAGCAGATGGGGAAACTGAGGCTCCTCCATCAGGTCTCTGCTCAAATGTCACTTTCCCGCCCACCCATCTAAATCAGCCCCTCCCCAGGCTCTGCGATAGTGTCATCTTCCAGGGCATTCTGTCACCCGCTGATACCATCCTGTGTACATAAGGACTGAGACCTGCATCCAGCCGTCATCCAGAACATAGTAGGTGGTTCGTAAATATTTGTGGAACAGGCCGGGCGTGGTGGCTCATGCCTGTAATCCCAGCACTTTGGGAGGCCGAGGCGAGTGGATCACCAGGTCAAGAGATCGAGACCATCCTGGCCAACATGGTGAAACCCCGTCTCTACTAAAAATACAAAAATTAGCTGGCCATGGTGGCAGGCGCCTATAGCCCCAGCTACTCAGGAGTCTGAGGCAGGAGAATCACTTGAACCCAGGAGGCAGAAGTTGCAGTGAGCCAAGATCGTGCCACTGCACTCCCAGCCTGGTGACAGAGCGAGACTCGGTCTAAAAAAAAAATTATATATATATATTTGTTGAACAAACAAAGGAAGTAAGAACTAGAGAAAAGGCTGGGTGCAGTGGCTTACACCTATAACCCCAGCACGTTGGGAGGCCGAGGTGAGCAGATCACTTGAGGCCAGGAGTTTGAGACCAGCCTGGCCAACATGGTGAAACCCCATCTCTACTAAAATACTAAAAATACAATAATAACAATAATAATAATAATAATAATAATAATAATAACCAGGCATGGCGGCGGACACCTGTAATCCCAGCTACTTAGGAGGCTGAGGCACGAGAATCGCTTGAACCCAGGAGGCAGAGGTTGCAGTGAGCCAAGATCCCACCGCTGCACTCCAGCCTGGGCAAGAGAGCAAGATTCTGTCTCAAAAAAAAAACTGCAGAAAAGACTGTCAGACTCATTTGAAAGTCAGCAAAGGATTAGCTCAAGAACCCAGGCCCTGGAGGATTGCTTGAGCCCAGGAGGTCTAGGCTGCAGTAAGCTGTGATGGTGCCACTACACTTCAGCCTGGACAACAGAGCAAGACCCAATCTCAAAAAAAAAGGAAAAAAAAAGAAAGAACCCATGCCCCTGGACCCCCAGGCTTGGTCACCTGCAGGCTGTGTTCCTAAGATGACTGAGAGTGCCCACCTTCCTCTGCACACCTCTCTTCTACCCACCACCCAAAAGAGGGGACACTTACTCCATGGGACCCAGACACACACCCAACCACTCTCAGGCAATTATTTCCAGACATAGACCAGGGCTCAGCAACCTGTCTGTAAAGGGTCAGGTACTAACTATTTTAGCCTTCATGGACCATCAAGGTCTCTGTCATGACTAGTGGATTCTATTATAACACACACAAAAATAACCAAGACAATATGTAAATGAATGGGCGTGGCTGTGTTCCAATAAAGCTTTGTTTACAAAAACAGGCAGCTGGATGGATTTAGCAAATCAAAATTCAGGACATCCAGTTAAACTTGAACTTTAGTGTCCTGTATTTTATCTGCAACCATAGCCTGGTGGGTAGCGGTGTGCAGATCCCTAGGCATAACTGGATTGGTGTGAACCTCGCAGTAACAGGAAAGAAAGCTGCCATTTTGGAATGCTCCACAGTACGGGAACACCGGGCAGAGTGTCTTCCTTATATTAGCCCATCTGTCTTCCCAGCAGCCCTGTGAGATGAGACACAGGGTCCACACTTTGCATACGAGGAAATGGGGACACAGAGAAGAAAAATCAGGAGTCCTGGTTCCCATAGCCGGTCAGGGACAGAACCAGGACCCACACCCAGGGCAGTCTGGCTCTAAAGCCTGAATCCTCTTACACCAGCTTCACTTCACGAAAACCAAGGCTCAGAGAGGTGAAGGGATGCGTCCAGAGAGCACAGCAAGGGGGAGGCTGCCTGAGACCAGGAGGAAAGGCCTCCTAGCTTCCTGCCCACTGAGCTTTCCAGGGGCTGCCCAAGGCTTCTGTGTGTGAACTTGCAGTTCTCATTGGCCTCTTGGGCTGTCCCGCGAGTGTGTGCAAGTGTGTTTGCACACATATATGCACACAAACAGGATCGGAGTCCGAGGAGCCCCACAGTCAGTTTCAAGGGAGATGGCTCTTGTTCTTGTCTTCTTCTTCTTCTTTTTTTTTTTTTTTTGAGACGGAGTCTCCCTCTGTTGCTAGGCTGGAGTGCACTGGCATGATCTCAACTCACTGCAACCCCCGCCTCCCGGGTTCAAGCGATTCTCCTGTCTCAGCCTGCCGAGTAGCTGGGACTACAGGTACGCGCCACCACACCCAGCTAATTTTTGTATTTTTACTAGAGATGGGGTTTCACCATGTTGGCCAGGATGGTCTCAATCTCTTGACCTCGTGACCCATCTGCCTCGGCCTCCCAAAGTGCTGGGATTACAGGCATGAGCCACCGTGCCAGCCGTCTTCTTTATCACCATAGTCGGAGAGCAGGTGAGATGCTGAGAGGTGGTAGGTTAATTGATGGATTCCTTTGACCAGGGCTTCTCAGCCTCGGCACAGCTGACATTTTGGGCCAAATGATTCTTGGCGGCAGGAGGGGGCTGTCCTGTGCATTGAGGCATGTTTAGCAGCACCCGTGGCCTCCACTCTCTCGATGCCAGCAGCACCTCACCAGTTATGCAAGACAACCAAAACCGTCTCGGGGCATCGCAAAATGTCCCCTGGAGGCAAGATCGTCTCTGACCGAGAACTATTGATTTTGACTCCCTGAGGTTTGAACATCCTCAAGGGCTCACCAGGGAACCTGCACTCATCCTCTGCTCTGGAGGCCACGAACTTCCCCAGGCCGTTGGCAAAGACATTCTGGGCACCCAAAATGGTACCAGGCATTATCGGGAAACCCTAAAAAGCAGAAGGAAGGGTTAGTTTCGGCCAAGCAGTAATAAAAATCTCTGTGAGCACAGAACGAACACTAGCTGATGCAGCCTGCTGTTCCGTAGACAGCAAACGATGCTCGAAGCCAGAGGTCCCCGAACCTGCCTGTGCACGGGGTCACCCCGGGAGCTTGTTCTTTTCATGGACCCAAGTGGACTCTGGAGGGTGGTCCTGGAATCTGCCTTTTCCATGTTTCTTCCTTCCCCCACTCAGCTCTGTTTCCACCCAGCAGGTGCTTGGGGTCAAATCCTGAAGACCCCTTGGAGGGAACCAAGTGGTGGCCCCAGAGCTGCCAGCAGGGGAGGTGGTTTGGAGAAAGGACTTGGGGTGCATGAATCCTGCCACGTGGGTGGCTGACTTCCTTGCGTCAGGCTGGTCTGGTGGAGACAATGACCTCACCTGCTTGGAAGAGCCCTTGGCGGCTGCTTGGATCTGGGGTCGGGGAGGGGTCCCGAGGGCCAGACAGAGAGGAGCTTGGGGGCTGAGTACACCTCCCCCCGGCCTGGCTGCAGCCCAGCGTGGCTGCCTGTGGTCTGGCCCGGGAGCGAGGGACAGACCTCCCCCATGGCTGGCACCCGCTCAGCGGCCTCTTCCCAACCACGGTGGGGAAAGGGAAAGGGGCTGACGTGGGGCTGACCTCACGCCCGGCTCCCCCTCCTCCAGTGCCTCCCTCGGGGGTTCCCTGCTGCTGGGAAGCTGGACCTCCTGTGGGAGGAGTGGGGGAGGGGAGGCAAGCAGAGAATGCGGGAGGCTGAACTGAGTGGGGGGCTCTGGAGGCTGGGGTTGGGGAGACAGAAAGACCCCCCACACATTTCTGTACTTTCTCTGCAGCCTCCAAGAGATCTGGGGTTCCCCTTACTCCATGTGGAAGGGCTTATGAGAGTTTTAGAGGTGATCAAGAATGGACAGCCCTATGGGCAGCATAGGAGGAGGCAGACTGGGCACTGACATTCAGCTGCTGCCCGGCCTGCTTACCCAGCCTCGCGGGCATCTTCACATCTGCTTCTTACAATGGCTATCATGGGACAGATGAGGAAACTGAGGCACAGAGAATTTCAGAAACTTGCCTAAGCTCCCACAGCTGGAAAAAATAAAGCCAGGATTCAAATCCAAGCATGTCAGAGCCCTGGCCCTGTGCTGGGTACTGCACACCAGCTCTCATCTGATGAAATGAACAATGTCCTGAGAATCGCAGTGAAACGCAGATTCCAAACCAGCAGTCTGAAGTGGGGCCAAGATTCCGTATTTTGGCCAGGCATGGTGGCTCGCGCCTCTTATCCCAGCACTTTGGGATGTCATGGTGGGAAAATCATTTGAAGCCAGGAGTTTGAGAGCAGCCTGGGCAACATAGTGAGACCCTGTCTCTACAAAAATAAGTTAGCCAGGCTCAGTGGTGTGCACCTATAGTCCTAGGTACTTGGAAGGCTGAGATGGGAAGATCACCTGAGCTCAGGAGTTCAAGGCTGCAGTGAGCTATAATTGTGTCACTGAACTCTAGCCTGGATGACAGAGCGAGACCCAGTCTCTAAAATAAAAAAGAACAAAAAATGTTCTGCATCTCTAAGCTCCCAGAGGTGTAGACACAACTGGCCTGTGCTCCATTCATTTTACCTAGTGTAGCCTGGCACGGGCATTTAATAAATGGAAACTGTTATTGCTATTTCCTACATAAAGTATATATCATGTGTTCTGTGCATAGTAGGGGCCAATAAACAGTAGGTCCTTGTGAAACATGATCCTATAAAGAGAGTCTGGTGAATTCTAGAGCCCAGTAGAAACCTACGATTAGCCGGGTAAAGTGGCTCACGCCTGTAATCCCAGCACTTTGGGAGGCCAGTGTCCAGCAGATCACTTGAGGTCAGGAGTTTGAGACCAGCCTAGCCAACATGGCAAAACCCCGTCTCTACTAAAAATACAAAATTAGCCAGGGGTGGTGGTGCATGCCTGTAGTCCCAGCTACTTGGGAGGCTGAGGCACGAGAATCACTTGAACCCAGGAGGTGGAGGTTGCAGTGAGCCAAGATCACACGATTGCACTCCAGCCTGGGCAACACAGTGAGACCCTGTCTCCAAAAAAAAAAAAAAAAAAAAAAAAAAAAAACCTACAATTGGAGTTCAGATGGACTTAGGAGAGTCAAACCTGAAAGAGGCAAAGAGCACTTGAAGGATGAGGTGACATTTGAACAGGACCTTGAAGGATCAGAATTTTCTCCATAGCAAAGGAAAAAGGGCAGTCTAGACAAAAGTTCTGTGACATTTAACAGACCTCCAAGCTACCACTATGGCCTGAGGGAAGTGGTTGTGAGGGAGGTGAGCCCAGAGGTTCCGTTGAACAGAACAAGCTACATGCTTTGTAAAATGGAAATGCCAGGTCGCTGGTTGAAAAACCATTAAGAATTCCTGCATGAGGGCCCTGGGCAGCTGCCCAGACTGTGCACACATGAACTTAGCCTTGAAGCTGGGAACTAGGTCTACAAGGAGGAGTTGGCCTTACCCCGTCAGCAGCTTAAGCAGGAATTTTAAAGGCTTTTGAAGTAAGCAGATGGTTCGGTCAGACTGGAAGGCTCAAGGCAGGGGGATGGGTCTGAAGGCTGTTGCAGCAGCACAGGCTGAGTCCAGGACACAGAGGAGGGAATAGCCCGAGCCACATGGAGGCTGATTTGGACACATTTGGTCCAGGTGGCATATAGGCCTTGGAAAGATATGGGTGTGTTCGTGTCCCAAGGCTGCCTAACACATTACCACAAACCGAGTGGCTTAAAACAATAGACATTTATTCTCTCACAGTTCTGGAGGCCAAAAGTCAGAAATCAAAGGGTCAGTAGGGCTGTGCTCCCTCCAAGGCTCTGAGGGAGGAGCCTTCCCTGTCTTCCAGCTTTTGGTGGCCCTAAGCCTTCCTTGACTTGCTGCCTATCACTCCAATCTCAGCCCCTGTCTTCACGTGGCCTTCTCCTCTTCTCTCCTTTCTTAGTCTCTTATGACACTTGTCCCTGCATTTAGGGCTCACCCAGAAATCCAGGATGATCTCGCTTCGAGATCCTTAACTGAATTACGTCTGCAAAGATTGTTTTTCCAAATAAGGTCACGTTCTGGGGATTAAGACTCAGCTATATCTTTTCTGGGGGGCCACCATCCAACCGCCTACAGTGGGAAGTGCAGGTAAGGCTCCTGTTTGAGACAGGGCAGGGAAAGCAGGGAGGGGAGGAGGCTGAGAGTTCTGGACCCACGGGCTGTCAGTGCCTGGGCCTTGCCTATGGCACACTTCTCATCTATCTGCAAAGAAAGGTCCTTCAGGGAAATGGGGAGTGTTCCAGCTGGCTCGCTGGGAGGTGGGGCCTGAGTGAGTGTGCCAGGAAAGAGCCTGCTGACAGGTAGTGCCCATCCCGGCTTTGATTCATTGGCCGTCTGGGCAGGAGCTGGACCGATCAGCTAGGAATTACAAAAATGCTTCGCACATATTTTCCTCTCGCTGGTGGTTTTCTGCTTGGTTAACCCCTGCTGGGCCCCCAATCCCATTGCTCGTCTGTGTCTGCGGCTGTGGCTCTTTCTCTGCATCTCACCCGCCCCCAGCCCCAGACACTCTCTTCACATCCCCTCCCCTCTCCCCCAGTCACTGACTCTTGGCTGGAGTGGGCAGGGCTTGACCACGTCCTCATAATTGAAATTTTTGGCCCCAAAGCAGGGTGGTGCTTCCCCAAGTCAAAGGGATGGACTCAAGCTGAGGCCTCTGCTAGGGCAGGAGGAGGCTTGAGAAATGTCCTGGATGCCAAAGCCAGTGACCAGGAAAAGGCTTTTTGCCTGGGTCCCAGAGGATCCAAGTGGCCTTGTAATGAGGCAGATTTAAGGCCACTGATCCCCAATTTCCTGCCCCAATCATGTTGCCTTCCTTCCTGCCCCCACCTCATGGCATTTGCAGACTCTTCCCAGAGGGAGGAAGTCCTTCATCAATAAAAAGGGTTTTAAACTACTGGAGTTAAGGCAGAAGCTTCTGAGGCTTCTGCTCCACCTTCAAAAGTCCACCCTCAGTCAGGCTAAAGCCCCAGTTTGTGCCTGTGTCATCCTGGCCCCTTTTAGGACCCGTTTCATTGGACTGTGTCTTAGCCATTTCGGTTGCTGTAACAGAATATCGCAGACTGGGTAATTTAAAGAAAAGAAGTTTATTTCACTCACAGTTCTGGAGGCTGGGAAGTGCAAAAACGTGGCACCAGCATCTGGTGAGGAACTTTTTGCCGCATCATAACACGGCAGAAGACGTCACATGATGAGAGCTGGTGTGCACTTTAGGTCTGGCCTTTCTTCCTCTTCTTCTAGCCACCAGTCCCCATCATGAGGGCCCAACACTGATAATCTTATCTAATCCCAACTACCTCCCAAAGGGCCCACCACCAATCAACACACGGATTTGGGGATTGGGTTTCCAACACATGAAATTTGGGGGACACATTCAAATCATAGCAAGCTTCACTGGATGTCGGGCGCCAGCTTTTGCAAAGATGGCTGCAGAAACCGCCCTCCAAAAATCCACATGCCTGTGCAGAAGGCTGTGGCTGGAGGAGAGGGCATCACAACACCCCTGTCCCCCCATAAGTCTCCAGGGAGAAATTCCCTTTCGAAACCAGTCCCAGGACAGGCTCTGCTTTCCCTGAGACTCCTCTTTTTTGATTATGAGAATCACATAAGAAGATCACATTTCCATTTTCCTTTCGGCTGCCAGGAATCTCAGATCCAACTTTGAAGCTCAGCCATGGCAATTATGTGGCCCCTTGTGATCTGAAACATTTATTTTCTTTCTTTCTGTGGTCTTAGTTTTCTCACTCTGTTTATATCTTCTCTCATCCCGATTCTCTATTTTATCAGCATTTTCATTAGGTACCTTCTGCTATAAGCTGCTTTACATGCTGTTTGGAATAAAGAGGATTGTAAATAGGGAAATAAATACATCGTGGTTCCATTATGATGTTAATATTTATTGCTGAAAATGTGATTGTTTAGCAAAATAAATGAATTCCCATTCTGCATTGTCTTTGAATTTCGAACAGAGGTTACCCGGGAGACTCTCTTTCTTCTGCTAGGAACCATTGAGCTCCTGTAGATCTAACGCCTGGTGCATAGAAGGCCTTGCCAGTCTTGACCAGGTGAGTGGATGGTGTTGACCATAAAGATGAGAAAACATCAACAGCATCTCTCACAAGCTGAGTGACGTCAGGGTACCCTCTGCCTCCCTGGGCCTCAGTTTCCTTATGTGAAATAGAAGGAGTAACCCAGCCAAAGCCTCACTGAGTGGTTGGGAGGATCTCGTGATGGGTGAGAAGATGCTTTGTGAACTGCAAGATGTAGGGCCTCGCAGAGCCCATGGGCATATGTATCCTGTGGGTAGCTGTTGGCAGTTGTTCTCTTGGGATCGGGGGAAGGGTGGTGCCATGTCCTGTTGAACTCCTGAGAGCTGGCTGGGCAGGAGGGCTGCCCCGCTGGCTCTACCACACGCCTGGGGTCAGGGGGCCTCTCTCTCCAGGCATCCTCTGGACCTGAGACTCAAGTTACCATGAGGGGATCAGTCAGCTACTAGGACTTTTGTCTGCCAGGCTCGCCCCCTCCCCATCCACCTGGCCCTGGCCTTGAACTCAGGACTGTCAGAATCCTCCCTTCCACATTCACTGGGAGAGAGTGGCCCCTTCCCCTGCAAAGAGGGCACCAGGTGTCTGAGACGCATTCTGCTTGGACCATCTCCACCCTTGGAGGAGCGGGATTCACGAGGCATTTCTATGTCCCTACTTGTAATTCCTTCGGACAACCTTGTGAAGTAGATAAGATGGCATTCATCACTGATGATTCTTGCAATTTTCAAGATAAGACAGCTGAGCTCATGAAAAGGGTCACGGGACTGCATCGGGGAGCGCCAGGCCCAGGATCCTGGCCGGCCGCAGGGGCAGGGCCTTCCCAGCAAAGCAAACACCTCCCTTCTCCCACTTTTTCCCACAAAGTGATTGTTTTTGCCTCTTTTTTGGAGGGTGACCCAATAACCAATTAACAGTCCTTTGTTCTATTTTGCCAGGGCAGGGCCCTCTCCCAGGCTGAGAGAGGCAGGGAGCATCCCTAGGCCCTGGCGTCCCCAGCCAGCCACCCAGGACTTAGCTGTCATTCTCTACCTTTCTGTGCTTTGCCATTTGTTTTGTTTTCCTCTAGTTTCCTAGTAAAGGTTGCTTTTGAAAAGCTTCAACCTTGTCTCCCTGAGCAGAGGGGAGGAGTGTTTCCACTCCTGGGCGGTGGGGGAGGACGTTGTGGGGTGTGGCCCAGGGCCTGAGCCAGCCTCCTGGAGACTGGGCGGGAGACTTCAGGGGAAGACTCAGAAACAGCTGTGGGCCTGCCGGCCTCTCCCTCCCAAGCAGCTGCCTTCCCGGCCCTTGGCCATTTGCACTTGGCGTGGGGGACTCCTGAGGAACGAGAGATGAAAGCGCAGGGTGGCCTTTCTCCGACTTTAATGTGCACACGAGTCTCCTGGGATCTTGCTAATGTGTACGTTCTGATTCTGCAGGTCGGGGGGTGAGGTCAAGATTCGGCACTGCTAATCAGCTTCCAGGTGAGGCCAAGGTCGCGCCATGTTGTTGAATGCAGTCCCTTCATGTTACAGAGAGCAGAGGGGACCACAGCCCGAGCCCCCTGCTGCCTCCCAGAGCGAGGCTCTCCTCATCGTGGACTCACCGCCCTCTGTGTGCCTCGTCCATCACATACATCCTAAGTGTCCCTCCCAGCCTGTGAGCTTCTAGAAGGCATTGCAACCCGGCACAGGAGCTGACACTTACAAATATTCAGGAACAAGCCAGTAGGTGACTCTCAGAAACACTGCCCAGATCCCCGAAATAAATCTCGGCTCGGGGAGCCCCAGACCCAAACCCTAGAGCAAAGAGCAGGGAGACATTCGGGGCCGCTCCAGAGTCTCAGTGTCTGTGGTTTCCCAGTTCTGACCTTGAATCCCCCCAGGAAGGGATTGCAGAAGGCTGGGAAGAAGGTTGCAGTGGAAGGGGATTCGGTTCCCAAATAGGCAGCGGGAGGAGGGACGGAATCAGGGCGGGCAGAGTCCTCCTTGGTTCTGGCCCCAGTGTCCTGTGTGATTCTGAGTAGGACCACCTATCCCCTCCCACTCTGGAGCCATTCGAGTTGTCCTGTTATGTCCCTCTGAATGGTCAACAGGACATTCCTGGGCAACAGAGACCTTGGCAGCTGGTATCTTACAGGTCCTCGAAGTCTCATGTAGGGGAAAGATCATGAGATCTGGAGGTGAAGGAGTGGCCCTAACTGGCCCTAAACACTTCAAGTGCCCCTGGGCACGTGGTTTCATGGCTCTGAGCCTCGATTTCTTCCTCTGGTATGTGGGGATGGCAACTCCTGGAGATCCCATGAGATTAAGTGAGGAGTTGGGAGGGAATGAGCTGAGATATCACACGGCACCCCGTTTACTTCTTTTTTTTTTTTTTTTTTTTTTTGAGACAGGGTCTTCCTCTGTCACCCAGGCTGCAGTGCAGTGGCGCAATCATGGCTCACCGCAGCCTCCACCTCCTGGGATCAAGGGATCCTCCCACCTCAGCACCCCGAGTAGCTGGGACCACAGGCGGACGCCACAGCATCTGGCTGTTTGTATATTTTGTAGACAGGGTTTCACCATGTTGGCCAGGCTGGTCTCGAATTCCTGGGCTCAAATGATCCACCTGCCTCAGCCTCCCAAAGTGCTAGGATTACAGGAGTGACCCACCGTGCCCAGCACCCCCTTTACCTCTGAGCAATCCATCTCTCTCCTTGGGGGCACCCCATGATCTAGACACCACCCACCTTGTTCTGCCTTGGCCAAAATACCACCTAACTGCCCCCACCTATGCCAGGTGCCCCTCACCCACCCTCCTCCACCCTTCGCTGAGTCCCACTTGGCTGGTGCCCAGGACAGGGACAGTCCCAGCCCTTCCAGCCCATCTCCCCACATCAGTACACTCCGGAGAGCCAGCCAAGAGTAGATTCTTTATTCATTTCTCTTTTTTTTCTTAAAAAAAAAAGTATTCATTTGGTATAAAAAATAAATATTTTAAATATGACATTGAATAAATAAAAATAATCTGTCAGTATGAAACATCCCCACAGGGTACATTCATCAAAGAGGAATTTGTCACCCAAGGCCATGTGCTTTTCAGTGGAAAGGAAGGAGGGAAACCTCTAAGGCCGCACGGTGGGCCCACGGAGCTAGCACGTGGGCGGGACTGAAGGCTGGATGCCGGGATTGAGGTGGGGAACTAGAGATGACTCTAAGGCAGGAACATCTGTACCATCTGCAGGGAAATGCTACCTCCCCGGGTGCCAGAGCTCCAACCCCACACACTATGTCTACTCTGGAGAGCCGGCAAGGCAGAGCTGGACTGGCTGGGTCAGGGTGGAAGTGCCCCAAGTCAGGGACAAGGAGGACGATGGGGACGATGGGGAGGAGAGACAAGTAAACTAGCAGTGCTTTTTAAAAAAATGTTTAAATAATAAATAAGGGCCCGGAGACATCTCTCTTGGTAAACTCTCTCTTCCTCCGGCCAGGCCCAGGTGTGGTCCACACCAGCAGATAAAAAGGGAAGAGAAACCCAGCTCCCGGCCTGGCAGAGCTGTTTCACGCAAAGGCTCTGTGATTCAGTGATGCTGTGCAGGGTGGACGCCAAGCTGCCGGACGGGATCTGGAGGGAGCACTGAGGATGGGTCCCATGGGGCCAAGTCCAGGCTGGGTGGGAGAGCGACTCAGAGCCAGGGCCGCAAGGTGGGCCTGGCACAGAGCTCCCAAGTCCACAGGGAGATGAGGTGATGGGCGAGTCAGCCGGGCCCCCCGGGTGGAATCAGCAACTCTGGTTTCCAGACAAGTTTGTCTTTCTCGAAGCCCATCCTGGGGGAATGCAGCCAGCCCCAAGCTAAGCCGGATGAAGCAGGAAGGAGAAGGCAGTCCCTGCATCCTGGACAAGGGTGAGTGTGGCCCACATCTCAACAGCCACATCCTCGTCTTGCTGTTGGGATGGACAGATGGACAACTCCGGGCCGCACCCTCCACCCCAACCCCAGGCCTCAGGACCTGCCTGCACACTGCCCACGCGCCATCCAGGTAAAGTGCTTAGAGAGCGACAGGGAAAGGTGCAAAGTGAGTGAAAAGTACCATAATTAGTACCATCATCTTGTCGGAGGAACTTGGAGGCCGGCAGCCCGCTCAGGGTTTGAGAAGAAGCCAGAACACTGCTCTGAGCAGCTGCCCCAACTCTGCTGCCTCCTTCCCTCCCCTGCTCTCAGACTGGAGGGCGTTTCTCCACTCGCCTGGCCCCAGCACAAAGGAAGAGATCGGGTTCCCTGCCTGGGAGCCCAGACATGGGTGGGAGTGGGATGGGGGTGGAGCAGGAGGGCCCACAGCTTCCTGGTCTGAGTCCCAGGCATCTGCAGCCTCCCTCTCCTCCTCTTGGGAGCAATGGGCAGCTGATCCCCCCAGTCTACCCCACCTTCCTGGGGTCTGGCCCAGCCAGGCCCCCCGCACCGTCTATGGGTGTCCGGGCCACAGGAGGAGCTTCCCTGCTGTGTCGGAGCATGCTGGGTGCAGGGGCAGGGTTGTTCCAGGGCGCTATTTCAGAGGCAGCATGGGGACACAGAAACAAGGACAGGGTGGGCCACAAGGACTGTCTTGCCCACTGCTCCAGGGGGCACAATATCTGCCAGGAACAGTGCGCCTCACAACACAATGCTGGGGCGCCCAAGAACAGTGTGAACCAGCCCCCTGGAATCAAGACAGAAAGGCACCCGGCCTCTCCACAAATTGGCCCAGCCCCTGCAGCCTGGACCCTGACACCCTAAAGCAAGTCACAGTAGGGGATGGGGGGGGGTGGAGCAAGGCCCCCCACTCCCACTCAGGCCTCCCCATTCTCTCAGATCCGACCCTTCTCTGAGCTTCACCCGTAAGGCTTATTCCACTTGTAACATTGTCGACTTCCAGACCAGGCCCTGCTAAGCCCTGGCCCTGGCGCTTGTGTCGGGAGCCATCATCATATTTTGTTGAGTAGGGACCAGGGAAAGGGGAATTAACTTGGCCACTGAAAGCACCAATAAGTTAATATAAATAGGATATCATAATAAATAGAAATCATGCCAGGTCAGACGCACAGCACGCTTGGAGCTCAGGGTTCCCTGAGACCCTGACCCTAAGTTCTGCTGTTCCCTTGCCCTGGGGACCAGAGACGGCCTCCAGTCCCCCTCAAGTACCTCTGTGTGACCTCACAAGGCCTCCCAGGGCCTCAGATGTGAGCTGCTACTCTGAGCTACCCCAGCCCCTTCTTACAGACCTTTACCCAGAGGAAGAGCCTGGGTCCCTCAGAACCTCTGCACCTGACTTAGCAACCTGCCCCTGCCCTACCCACCTCCACAAACCCCTGCTGCAGGTCCAGCCATCAGACCCTGGCCATCCCAGGCTGCAGGGAAGATCACGGGGAAGAGAACGAAGAACCTACCAAAGCTTTCCAGGCCTCTCCTCCTCCCAGTGTCTTCCTTCCCAGGCCTGAAGGTGGCTTCTCTGCCTCCCCAAGAGCCTGAATGCCAAGTGACCTCCTTCTGGAAACTTCTGCCAGATTGTTCCTATGCCCAAGTTCTCTGATCATCCTCAAAAGAAGACAGCCTTCCATCCCAGAGGCCCCTCTCTATCTTCCACTCATCAAACTTCTAGGGGACAAGGAGTCCTTTGGGATCCTAGCCCCTCTGGCCCACCTAAGTCCCAACCTAAGGGGCAGCAAAGGCACAGATGGTGATAATTTGCTGGGGGCTGGTCCACTCCCCTGGGCCCTGCTGTCTCACCCTGTGGTCAGGGCTCTTGTAGATGACTTGTGTAGTTTGTTCACTGCACAAAGTGAGCAAGGGGCCAAAGGGACAAGTAGAGGCAGAAGTCCAGCCCACGCTCCCCAGTCCACAATCTCCCAGAGGAAGGGGCACCTTCTTCTAGCTCCCTCCCTATGGAAGTTTCCACTCTGCTCAGCTTCATCACAGCCCAGCCCAGAGTGGAGTGGACTGGCCAGGCACCCTCGGGGTCTGCCAGCAGCCCCCATTTGGGTTTAGCGATGCCCTGGGCCCCAGCCACCCTTGGACAGGCCCCCACATCTGGACCCAACTCCTGAGATCCCTCGGTTCACAGCACACTTCAAGACCTCCTGCTAGAAGGCCTGGGCCAACACGGCGATGATCTGCTTATACTTCCCCAGGAGTTGACAGCCCAGCTTCTTCTTCTGGAAGACATCCTTACCCGAGGTGTCAGGGCCGTAGGTCACGTCCACATGGCCCACGTGGTACTTGCTGCACAGGCGGCACAGCACGTTGCTAAGGAGGCCTCGCAGGATGTCGGCGGTGGCGTTGAGCTTGCTGTGGAGGCTGAGGGCACTGGGGTTGAGGATCTTCTGGTCCCGGGTGATGTTGCCCAGGGAGGTGCCAAGGTACACGACTATGCGGTACAGCTCCACCAGCTTGGCCTTCTCCGTGCCGTTGGCGTGGAAGGGCGGGAAGTCCGTCACGTTGGGGCCACATAGCTTGTCCAGGTTGTTGGGGAACGGCTCCCCCTGGGCTGTGTACTGAGGGGCAGAAGGGAGGTGACGTGGGAGTCAGGGGTCAGTGTCCCAGCCCTGCCGCCAACCCTTTGGGCAAGCTCTTGCGTCTGTTTCCCCATCTAGCGCATGAGGACCCAACTCCTTGCCCTGTAAGCATCTGGAATTGTCATGAGAGCCAAAACTAATTGTAATGTGAGTGCCCTTGCTAAAGATCAAAGACTGAGCCATGCACGCAGTCATCATTATCATCATCATCATCATCACCACCCTAAGGGGACAGAAGGGAAAACTCGGTGTCTAGCCCTAGCTGGGGCACCACACACAAGTACTTCCATCCCTGCACTCACAATGTTCCGGGACGCCCCTCCATGCCCAGCACCCACAGCCCACTGCCTCTCAACCGCATCTCCCTGGTGCCTCACGCCCATTTCCCCTCCATCCCTCGCTCCCTGCAGCAGGACAATCACAAGATAAGAAGTGCCAGGTCCCCACCTTTGCACTCAGTTCTCCCCTTGCTAACTGGGCACCCTGGGGAAGCTTCCCTGGGGAAGCTTGGGCAGGAAGTGGCGGGAGTCTGGGGGTGGTTTAATCAAGCCCTCTCCCCATTCTCTCCTTCCAGCCCCAAAAGGTCCCCTCAACCCAGATCAGGACAGCCCCTAATGATATTTACAAGCCCCCTCCCTGCCATCTCCTGTCAGTATCCCAGGGGTAACTTACATAGAGAATAAAGAGGGCATTGGCACTGCCATTGAGCTGTGCCAGTTGGCTCCTGATCTGGTTCATGAGGTTGTTGTGACATGGGTGGCGTATGGCACAGGTGGCGTTGACAGGGGTGATGGGGAGGGGGCTCCCCGCCCCATGTTTCCAGTGCAGAACCAACAGCAGGGGCACAACTCCTGGGGACAGTCAGGAAGAAGCCATGAGTAGAAAGGCAGGAAAGGGTGGCCTGGGGTCATGGCACACCGGATGGGGGTCCAACAATGGCCGCATGGGAGAGGACTCCTGGTTCCCCCTCACCACCTGCAGCTGTCTTCCTGGGGCCTAGTCTTCACTCTGTCACTGCGTGTGTTTCTCTGTCTCCCTTTCTCTACCTTAGTTCTCCCTGCTCTCTTCTGGGATGACGTAAAGATGAGGGCAAGACACAAGCCATTTCCACCCAAAGGGTGCAGGGTCCAGGAGAGACTCCCAGCCATCCCACCCTTTCCCTCAGGAAGGCAAAGGTCCTAAGGCCCCCTGGCCCTCTGGCTGGAAGGCACCAGGCCCCAGGCCCAGCAGGCACCAGGAGAAAGGAGACCCCTCTCTTCCCACCTCCCGTGGTGGCCCAGGTTCCTCAGCAGCGCTTCCCACTCACTGGCCCATTGCAGCCCAAATCTCCGAAGCCAGGCACCCATGGGGGCCACGGGGCATGGGGGAGTGGGGAGGAGTCCTCGGTTGACCCTCATCTCCCTCCCAAACCTGCCACTTGATTCTGGCTCCCTGGGCCAATTGCCCCCAATTCTGCCCCCGCCCCCATCATCCTCTATCTCTTCCTTCCCTAGTGTCCCCTATCTCACTCAAGCTCACCCCATTTCTGCCTGGCTGTCCCCACTCTCCATCCCCAAATCATCATTCAAAACTCTCTGTTCCCCCAGCTCCGGACAGCCCCTGACTCCATGCCTTCTCCCGACTCATCCGCTGTCCCTTGTCCCAGGGGTTCCCCTCCCTCCTAACACACACACACCGGCTCAGGGAGGGAGAGGAAATGGTGCACCAGGAGAGAGAAAAGGCAAAAGGTCATAGGCAGTCGGGTGGGCGGGGAGGAAGGAAAGTGAAAGGTGACAGGAGAGCTGGGAGCTGTCCCGACATGTCCTGGTTTGCCCCTCCCCCAGGGGGGCCTGTTCTCCCGACTCCCCCCAGGCCCCCTTAGACGCTTTTCCAGGGCTCTGCAGAAGGGCACCTGAAGATGGTGGGGGCCGGGGTCAGCGGGCGAGTGAGGCTGGAGACCTCCCCCGGATCCCCCATGCTGGAACAGCGGGGACAGGGGCCTCCTCAAGTTCACTTCTCCTGGGTCCCCTGTTCGTCCCAGCATCCCAAGGCAGTGCTGAGGCCCCGGGGTGGCTGCGGGAGGGGGGCCACACCCCTATATCTCACCTAGCGCAGACCACACGCTTCCAGACACCAGCAGATGGAGGCGGCACCTGCTCCCGTCCCAGGCCGGAGTTTGCAAGCTGCTCGCCGCCCGCGCCCCTCCCTGGGAGCAGCCCGGGACCGCGGTTGGAAAGGAGAAAGCGGAAAGAAAGAAAGAAAAGAAAAAGAGAGAGGGAGAGTGAATCTGGGAGAAAGCGCAGAGGGAAGAGCAGCCAGCGAGTGTCCGGAGCGAGGAGGAGGAGGAGGAGAAGGAGAGGGGGAAGAAGAGGAGGAGGAGGAAGGCTCGGCGCCCCCTCCCTCGCCGCCAACCTGCCGCGGGGCGTGCGGTGCTTGGGACCATGTGCCCGCGCTCGCTCCGGGCCGCCACCCAGCGCCTCCGGTGGCTGCGCGGGCGCCCCAAGTGTTCGTGTGTCTGCGGCGGGTGGGCGTCCGGCTCGCGCTGCCAAGCGCCCCAAGTTGCCGCCGCGCCCCGCAGCGGGGACGCGAAGCCGGCGCGGGGCGGGTGTATTTACCTGCCGCCAAGACCTTCATTATGGGCTGCACTTCAGAGGGCCTTGGAGGAAACCTCAGATGCCGGCAGTTTTCAGAGGTTCATGCTCAAATGGGGAATTTGCCTGATTTATATACTGGAGCCTGTGTTGTAAGACAGAAACAGCTATATTTAGCCGGGATCCCCAGTCCAGGAAGTTGTTTGAGGTGCATCATAGGAAATTATGAATGGAAGAAAGTGAGAGTGAAGGGGGGGGACGAGTGAGGGGGGAGGGTGGGGAGAACAGACTTTTTCCCTCTTCTAAGAATTTGATTGATAAAATTATAATGAAGCCTTCGACAAAACGCCCTGTGGTTTTCCTGCCTGGCTTGTCCCGGGAGTTGTCTGAAGATGGGCATCGCCAGGAGGGGGCCCCTGGCCGAGTCAGCAGGGGTCCCAGCAGTGGGCGCCCCAGACGGCCCTGACTCACCTGGGTTTGGGGAGGTAGCGAGTCTGGACTAGCAGATGGAGACTGGCCCCTGTGCCCCCTGGTTGGGGGGCTTTAGGGGGGCAGTGGGAGGAGGAGGGCTAGGGCTTGGCTGAGAAGGAGGCTCCAGGAGGAGGGGCCGGGGCCGGCGTGGACTTTAGACGGTCATAAAGTGGAACTGAACATGGGCGCTGGAAGCCACCCCAGAGGTAGCCTCCTCCAATCTGCACATTGCCACTGGGCCCCAAGGGGCTCCGAGGGGAACACGTTGCCCAGGGCCCCAGAGGGTCAGGCCTCCAGACACCACCAGTGCACTCGCCCTGCTGACCACTGTACCTGTGAGGCTGGGGAAGGGGCTAGGAAGACATGGGGGTAGGGGTGACTGACTCAGTTCTGTCGGGACACTCTGGGAAGGTGCTTCTGGGAAGGCGGTCCAGCATTTCCATTCTGAAGCAGGACTGAGAGAGGCTTGGCGAAATCGTACCCCAGTTTCCTCCTCCGGGTGCTGATTGATGGTTGGGGAAACTGAGAAGTGGCTGGTCCCTTCCAGACCTGCCTTGGAAGCCCCTTTGAGCCCAGCCTCAGAGAATGATGGAGGTCCCCAAAAAGTGCTTCTAGAGGCTCTAAGGCAGTGTCACATGTTCTGGCGTCTTCTGAGGCCAGGCGATTTGTGAATGAGGAAGGGCAGAAAGGAGCAGTGGGGAGCCGGGCAAAATGAGCACAGGGACACCTCCAAGAAATGCAACAGAAAAGTGAAAATAAATACACCCTATGAGATGCGGGAATGCCGGCCAGACAGCATGGCCACGCGTCTGGGGCCATGCCGTCCCTAAAGCTGCCAGGGGACCCCCAGTACCAGGAGATGATTTAGTCCCCTGTGGCCCCTTCCCAGCCCTTCCGCCTGACCCTGACCTGAGATCAAGGTGTGTGAGTTGGTTTTCCAAGGCCAGGGAGCTCTTGCAGCCTCGCCCGGGCCCCCACCGCCCCCTCGCCCATCCTCCATGCCCCCAGTTCCTGCCTCTTGCCACATCCCAGACCTGCCCAGCCACGGGTTCCTCCTTCATCGTGCCAGGACGAGCCCTGGTGCCTGCTGCCGTTCCCCACCACACACACACCCTGCTTTATCTACGCTCTTGCCCCCCATTCTCTCCCAGCAGGGCCTCGGATGTGAGGTGATAAAACTGCCCATCCCAGCTGGCACTTCCCGAACTGGCTCTCCTTCCTCCTTCCTGCCTCTCACCCCACACCTTGTCTCTTCTTTGAGGGACCATGGAGGGCCCCACTTGGCACTTACTGCTCCTATACACTTGCTCTGGGGTCAGCGTACACTACTAGGAGACTCACCTGCCCTGGCCTGGCTCAGGTAACCCCACATCCCAGGACACCCCAGCTCAACCCTTCTTCTTACACCTCCCCCAGCATCTCCTGCACAAGGACCTGACCACTCAGAGCACGTGAGCTCTGGACCAGTCCCCAGTCCCATCCCACATCACCCAGACCCCTGCCACCTGACTCAGCCTGGCTCTCCTGACATGGACCCCAAATCCATGTGACCAGGGGCTCACTGTGGCCTCCACCCATCAAACCCCCGTCGCCCGGCCTGAGTCTCTCATTAGGCTCAAGAGTTCTGCAGCTGCCCCTACATCTACCATTCTGCCCAGTCTCCCCTGCATCCTTCCAAGCGGACCCCCAGGCCCTTGCATGCCTTCTGGCAAGCCAGACCCCACATCAGCCCTATAATCCACCCCCAATCGCTGTTTAATCTCAGCCCCACCCCACAGGAAACAGGAAGTGAGGACAGGGTCTAGAAGACACTGACACTAAGGCCCCTTAACCCCAGCCCTGACTGGCCCCTCCAGTGCCTCAGTTTCCCCTCCTCTCACGGTACCTGACTTGGTTTGTGCTCCCCAAGTGCTCTGGGCCCCTCGGCGCCCCAGGCCCAGCCTCCCCCTCCTGTCCATGTCCAGGCACCACCTGCTCTGGGCCTCTGGAGGGAAGGCTGGGCAGGGTCTCGGAGCCGCAAGTCCGTGTGCCGCCTGCAACGTGGCTGCGGCCCCCAGGAATCAGCCGCCCAGGCTACGCTCCAGGCCCACTTTGGTCTCTGGGAGTTTGTTTTCTTCCCTCCCTCTCTATGCTGTGTGTGTGTGTTCCCCGCCCCCGGCCGGCTCCCTCATGGAAGGCACCCTCCCTTCTTGGCTGCCGGCTCCCAGGGTCACGACCCCAGGCCCCACCCTGGAGTGGCAGCCCCGGCTTGGCCCCTTCCAGCTGTGACTTCATCCACAGCCTGTCCTGCTCCTGCAGATGGGGCCTGCTGGGGATTTGACCGGTCTCAGGGTGAGCGGGACAGTCCCGGCCACATGGGACCCCCTGACATTGAGCAGAGGTTACTAGGCCAGAACCCAGGAGTGCTGTCTCCAGGTGGCTGTGCCATCCAACCCATCACTGCTCTCCAGGAAGGGAGTGCACCCTCTAGCACGTGCAGCTACCCAGCTGCTCGTCTTCTGCTGATTGTTACCCCCCATCCACAAGTCTCTCCTGGGATATCACAGCTGCTTATTTTCCAGATGGGGAAATTGAGGCTCAGAGAGGTGAAGATAACTATGTGGGGCTCACATAAAGAGTTAATAACAGAGCCAGGTCTGGAACCGGGGCTTCTGTCTTGCAGGCCACAACAATCCCTGCAGCACCTCTTGCTCTGAGAGGGCGAAGGGCATGGCAGGAGTGCTCGGGTCGCCTTCCTCCAGGAAGCCTCCCCTGCCTCCCATGGCCCCGACCAGCTCACATCGGCCATGTCCTGCCTGCTCGTGTTTCAAGTGGGGATGAGTCTTATTCCTCAACCTTTGAGAGTTTGAATGGGGTCTGAGACTCACTTGTGCTCTAGACAGCACCTGGCTCAGGGCTATACTCTGACATGAATAGAGGTTAAGTATTTTTTGAGAAAGCATTTTATAGTTTCCAAAAACTGTCAGTGCCAACTCTCTTGTGGAAAGGAGATGGAGAGGCCTGAAGGTTTGAAGAATGGACTCTGGCCTCATTCACAACCAGGTTGGAGGTTTGGCTCTGCCAGTTATGAGCTGAGTGACTTTGGGGAAGGGACTACCACCTCCTGGCCTCAGTTTCTTCAACTATAAAATGGGAATAATGGTACCGCCTTTGTGGGTCTGCTGTGAGGGCTCAGGGCTCAGCATGGTTCTGGGCACCCAGCAAGCCACCTGTCTGCATATCATCACCCATTGTGCTGACCTCCCTGTGAAGCAGGGGTTCATTTGACAGATGGGGAAACTTGGGTCCATGCCAGGGTGCTGAGCGGGGAAGGCTGGGCAGGAGCAAGACCTCTCAAGCCTCTGCTGATGGTAAATTGAGGCAAGATACCCACGTAGCCTCCAGCTTCAAGGGTGCCCCAGATAAATCAGACAGGTTGTGGGAGGGGGCTGGCAGGGCAGTGTGCTCACTCCCCCAGAGCCCCCTTCCTGGCCCCTCACCACCCCCACCCCAAGCCTGATCTGAGGACAGCAGCTGACCTGGCCTTACCGCCCCCAGAAGCTGATTCACCCCCAGGCCCCATGTGAGAAGGAAGGAGACAAACTCAGCTCTGAGGGGCTTGAATCACCAGCCGCCCCCTGCAAAGCCCCGGGGTTGGGGGGGGGATGCGGGGGTGGGGGCCAGCCCCCTGCCTGTCTGTCTCTTTCCTGGACCCTGGGGCTCTCAGGAGAGAGGGCAGCATGTCAGTGGCATGGGCAGGGGTGAGATGGGAGGTCCCTTCACAGTCAGGCATTCTGTGTGGGCAGCCAGCAGCAGTTACTCACCAGGTAAGCAGCTCTCCGGGCATTGGGGAATTCCCCAAGACCAGCGACCCAGAAACAGCGCTCCGGGCACCCCCGGCTGCCCAGGCTGGCCTCCCTCCTTCCTTCCCCATCCCCTCTGGCCCTGGTACCTGGAAAATGAGCAGAGCCCTCAGGTGGGCCTAGGAAGGAAGCGGGGGGCCAGAGGGTGGGTCCCAGGCTCAGGGCTGGTGAGGAGTGGCCAGAGGAGATGGTGAAGCTCAGGAATGCCGGGCACAGCCCAGCCAATTGGGCATCCTGGCCAAAAAGGCAAGAGCACCGCACTCTTCAATGCTTGAGGAGTGAGAGTGTGATGCCACCAGCGGACCGTGCCTCCACTGTTCTCACCCCAGTGGTGTGGGTTCAAATCCCTCCTGCCCCAACAACCAGCTATGTGGCCCGGGACAACGGGCTTCCTTTCTCATACCCTCGGTTTCCCCTCTGCAAATGAGGATGCTGTCATAACAGCCTCGTGGGGCCATCATGGGGATGTTTCTTGGGAAATGCGGATAAACGTCTAACACATGGCAGCCCTTCTAATAAGATCTGGTTGTGGCCGCAGAAGGAGCTCAAACTCCAGACCGAGTCAGGGGCTTGGGTTAGGGCTGGGTCCCATGGTCAGCACACTGGAGTCCGAGAGTCAGGGCAGGAGGTGGCTCCTGGGTCCGCTTAGTTCATGGAGCCTGGTGTGGGTTTTGGGAGAGTGGGTAGCATCTCAGAACCTTGTGGGGGGACATAAGCAGTACTTCCCCCATCTCTGGGCCCTGGAGAGCCCAGCTGTCTTCTGGGGGCTCTTGAGGTCCAGACGCTGGACCTATCTCCTGCCCCTTCTCACCCTTACCGGATCCAGTCTCTGGCAGCGACCAGCAGTATCCCCTCAGGGCCAAGGAGAAGCCAGAAGCCACCCTGGACTTCTGCCAACTGCTCCCATCATCACCCGACATTTCCCGACCGACTGTGTCAGGAATCAACCCCCTGGAGATGAATCAGAGTGACTGCATTTTTTTTCTTCATTTCTGATAGAAATTGCAAGGGAAGCAGCAGCCCCTGATCATTGGCAGGGCCAGCCAGAGGCCTGGCCGTGGCGTTGCGTGGGGCCGGTCCCCCCCAGGGCTCTGTAGAATGGGTTGCTGTCTACCCCAGCCATCAGCATTTAGTGAGCATGGCCTTTGAGACTCTGCAAGCACTTTTACCTCCCCCAGGCTCTCCCTGAATCTCGAACTAGCCTGAGACCACTGCAGGCAGATATAGAGAGAGCAGTGTTTTCACACTGCAGGCCTCTGCCTCTTCGTGGGTCATGAATTCAATTAGAGGGTTGCCACCAACACTTTCAAAAAGGAATAGCGAAATCACCTGGCATCGCCCAGAGCCAGGGCGAGGATTGCTCCATGAAACTTTTTTTCCGGTTGTCTGTATGTCAGTATCTGCATCCTCATCTGGTTGCAAGGTGCAATGTATTTCTTACTGTGGGTGGCAGTCAAAAACATTTGCAAGCCACTGGTATCGATGTTGAAAGCAGGCCCAGAGGGGCTGAGGAGTGACTTGCCCAAGGTCACTCAGCAGTGTCTCACGGGGCTCCTGACTTCCCTTCCAGCTCAGGAATGGGCCAGAGGTGCCGCAGGGTAGGGCGGGGTGGGGCTGAGCAGGTGCTCAACGTGGGGAACCTGGCGGCACCCTGTGCCATGCCGTGACAAAGGCCTTCCAGAGCCCAACCTCTCACTGTCCACTCCCTTCCGCAGCCTCGGACCCCTGGGCTCTCTGCCCTGCCCCGTCCCACCTGGGTGGAGCCCAGGACAGTCACAGGCCTTTCTTTCGTACTCCACCAGGGAGTCTTTCATCCTCACCACAGGGTGCGGGAAGAGGAAGTGGCCACAGCCACCTTCCCAGGGCAGCCTGAGGCCAAGAGCCACAGCCTGCAGTAGAGGGTGCACACTTGGGCTCCCTGTGGCCCTGGGACATGGCTGAGTCTCTTTGTCTGAGTCTGAGTGGGCATTTGCCTGAGCATGTGTGTGTAGTGAGTGCCTCTGTGTCTGTGCATGCCTGTGTCTGGTCCCGTGTGTGCATGTGTGGTGTATGCATGTGTGTGCATGTGTGTGGATCTGCTTGTACTGTTTGCTTTGTGTGACAGCGAGCTAGACGGTGCACATCTCTGGCTGCTATTGTGAGTTCTCCGTGTGGTTGTGTGAGTCTGTGTGTGTGCGCACGCGTGCGCGTGTGCCCATGGGCATGAAGCCAGTGCGACTGTGTGTCTGGCCTTGTGTCTGCATGAGTTTGTGTAGGACTGTGGATCCCTGGGCACGACGGCTCGGAGAGGGGGGAGGCCTAACCCTGGGCGTGCACGCATGCGTTTCTGAGCCTCCAGGCCTGCGTGTGCCCCGGCGTGTGTCTCCAACAATCCCTGCTCCTCACCCTCCAGCCCCCGCCCCTGGGAACCATGTGGCAGCCTCACGTCACAGGGGCCACCAGCAGCTGGCTTCCTCCCTACCCCGCCCCAGCCCCCCGCTCCACAACGCCCTGGCCACCCTGACTCTTGGCACAGGGACAAAGCTGATGTCAGAGGCGAGCTGACAGCTTTCTTCTCCCACTGGATTTTCCAAAAGAGAGAGACCACAGCGGCCCCTATTAAATAATCATGGGGCTGGGGGGTAAAGGAGGGACGTGTCACTCAATGATTTCCTGGACTCAGAGGCCATAAACAGAACAGGAAGCAGCCCGAGGACCTATTCAGCCTGAAACTGGCCGTGCAGAGGTGTGGGCCTGGCCTCCTCTCCTTCCCCTCCCCCAGCCAAGCTCACTGGGGCCACCCTGACCCGACCCAGCACCCAGGGGAGCCTGAGGATTGTTCTGAGGATTGTGGGTGGGAGGGTGATGGGAGCCTCCGGTCTGGCGACAGTGATGACATGGAAAGAATAAAGTGGTCCCATCCCACTGGGTGGGGAGGATGGAGGGGTGAGACCTGGCTGAGGTTGGACTATCCTCTTCCCTGGGAAGAGAAGGAAGAGTGAGCTTCCTGGGGTGAGGGGAGGGATGGGGCCGGGTGGGGGAGCCGCTGGTGGAACCTGGGATTGGAGGGGCCAGGCTTCCCTCTGTGTCTTGCAACGGGGTCGTAATACCTGTCCCCCACCAGTCCTGCACCCTTGGGTCCCCCTAGACCTCCAGGACCCTCCCAGCCCGGAGTAGTGCCCTTCTTGGGGCACAGGCCCCCAAGGCTTTCATAAGCCTCTCTCCCACCCCCTCCCCACAAAACCAAGCATTACCAAGTGCTCACCAGAACCCGCTATGGGCTCAAACCCTAACCCGCATTCTCTGAGGGAGGCATTTTAAACTTCATTTGACAGACTCGGAAACTGAGGCTCACAGAGTGGAATGATTTGTCCCAGGTCACACAGTGTGTAATGGAGCCAGGTCTCCACCCCAGCCCCCTACCCCCAGCCTCCCTAAAACAGGACCCGGGAGGCCCAGGTGTGGTCTGAGCAGCCAGGCCCAGGGGGGGTCCCCACAGAGTCACTCCCCAGGCAGCCCCTCCTGCCTGGACCAGGCCGCCCAGTGGCTGATAAGCCACAGGACTGCATGACACAATCCCGCTCTGATCTTCTGCCCAGCCGAGCCTCTGCCCCCACCCCACCCCTGGACCCTGTTTCCATCTCCTCCCTTTCTGGGTGGGACCAACGCCCCGGCCTGGTGTCATTCATGGTGGGCTGTCCAGAGAGCCAGCTTCTCTGTGAACCTCTCAGCTGTTGAGGTCTCCCCAAAGTCCACCCTAGCCAGAGGGCTGGCAGCAGGAGACCCCTGCAGAGGGAGGACAGTGGCCTGTGCCACCCCCACCTGCCGGGTGGGGGTGGGGGACTTAGGGCCCATCTTGGCCCCTGCTGGCCTCAGCATCCCCACTTGGTAAAGGAAAAGCTCGGAGAAGAGATGAGGCTGCGCCGTGGAGGGGAGGAGGCTAAGTGGGCTCTGGAATCAGCCAGACCCCAGGTCCAGGCCCACCTTGGCCACTTACGAACTGTGCAGCCTCGGGCAGGTGGCCTCATCGCTCAGGCCTCAGTTCCAACGTCCACAAAATGGGGTAACAGTGTTGTCAACCTGTGAGGTCAGCAATGTCCTCTGCAAAGGCTGGCCAGCATGGAAAACATGGCTTGGTTATTGATATTGCTATTGTTTGAGACAGGGTCTCATTCTGTTGCCCAGGCTGGAGTGCAGTAGTGCCACCATAGCTCACTGCAGCCTCAATCACCCCCGCTCAAGCAATCCTCCTGCCTCAGCCTCCCAAAGTGCTGGGATTACAGGCATGAGCCACTGCACCAGGCTGTGTTATTGATATTATCTTAGCTGTGGGGCCCAGAGAGGGGAAGTCGCTTTTCCAAGGCCACACAGCAAATTAGTGGCACATTCCCAGTAGTATGTGGACTAGTGGCCTCTCTTGAACTCCCAGACAGAGAGCTAGGAACCCTGGGTTTCAGTCCTGATTTGCTTGTGAGAATTCCAGAAGGAAGCTTCTCAGAGTCTCAGTTTCCCTTTCTAGATAAGTCCATGAGTCCCAAAGTGTCTAGAAAAGGTTCTTTGGGGCCGGGCACGGTGGCTCACGCCTGTAATCCCAGCACTTTGGGAAGCCGAGGTGGGCAGATCACCTGAGGTTGGGAGTTCGAGACCAGCCTGACCAACATGGAGAAACCCCATCTCTACTAAAAATACAAAATTAGCTGGGCATGGTGGTACATGCCTGTAATCTCAGCTACTCGGGAGGCTGAGGCAGGAGAATCGCTTGAACCCAGGAGGTGGAGGTTGCGGTGAGCTGAGATCACACCATTGCACTCCGTCTCAAAAAAAAAAAAAAAAAAAGAGGGAAAAAAAAGAAAGAAAGAAAAGAGAAAAAGAAAAGGTTATCTGAAGAGTGGCTTGTGGGGAGCAGTGGTGGGGGATAGAGAGAGAGACCCAGGTCCCCAGGAAAGCTGGGCCCAGGGCTAGGGGAGAGTCCAGGTCCAGGGCTCCCAGACCAGCATATGAAAGACACCCAATCACCTAGCCCGGCTCCAAACCACGGGCTGCAGCGCCCCCCACTGCCCAGCGGGCAGCAGGCCCTGCGGCCACGGCCCCGCCAGCCCCAGGCCAGCCTGCAGCCGGGGCCTCCCCTAGAGCTAGGCGGGATGGCATTTGGGGATTTGAGGAAGTGAGCCGGGATGCCTGAGACTCAGAATGGAGAGTGGGCAGATACAGGCCAAGGCTGGAGAAGGGGGCACCACTGAGGGGGTCTTGGAGGAGCCTATGCCATGTCCAGCACCTCCTGGGGAAGCCCTGAGGACCGGCCACAAGGGGGTGCCAGGACCACGTGCCTCTGCCTGGCGGAGCCTCTGGGAGGAGGAAGAGGAGGAAGGGGGAGAAGAATTTCTCTCCTGGCCCTGCTGCCGCGTCCCACTTCCCTCAGACTTCCAGGACGTCCTCTCTCCCCAGCCCCCATTTACAGGTCCTCATGACAATTCTTCCAAATGGGAATTACAATCACCGTTTTACAGAGGAGACAATTAAGACCCACAGAGGTAAAGTAAACCAAGTAAACCAGGGACACGTGGGGCAGAGCCCAGGTCCCCACCCTGCCCCAGCGTGCCAGGGAACCCCAGCATCCAGACCCAGGACTGGCCCACCCCGGAGACAGTTTCCCTATCCCCTCGGAAGCCTCTCCCCAGGTCTCGGGAGTTGCTGATAGCAAGATTGGGGTCGAGCCCCTTTCCCTCTCATGCCAGGCTCTGTGCAAGGATTTTACCTATATTTTTCCTTTCTCGCCACAGTGATCCCATAATTAGATCCATTTTACACAGTGAGTGAGGCACAGTGCAGTCAAGTCCTGCACTGGCCCAAGGCCAAAAGCACAGGGGCCTTGAACTTGACTGACCACACACGCTGGAGCCTCCTATACAGGAACCACCTCTCCATCAGAAGGAAACCGAGGTCTTCATGGGCTGGGTCCCCTGTACTGCTCTGGGGAAAAGAGAACTTGAGGGTCCCTTGGGAATCCAGGACTCAAAACTCCCAGATGACTGACCCCTCCAGGGTCCCAAACAGCCAGGATTCAAATCCAGGCCTCCTTCCAGCCACCATGTCCAGAGCTCTCTCCTCTGCCCTTTAACCCTTTGATGCTCTTTAAACCCTCACATGTCCACATGACACTTTCGCATCCGTTCTCTCCTGCTTAGCCTCAACATCCTCAGAGAGATGTTCGGGGCTTATCTCACCATGTCCATTGCATAGAAGGGGAAACTGAGGCCTGGAGCGTGTGTGGGCCACCAGATCTCCCCCTGACCCACAAGGGAGTGAGTGATATTTGCTTTGGTGGAGGATAAATTTGGAGGCTGGCCTCTACCCCCGGCCCTGCCCCTGGGAGAAGCCTACCGTGGTCTGTGCCTGCACACGCCGCTCCGGATCTGGAAGGTTTGCCAGGTCTTCAGTGGGACACCATCGTCTTCCGGGCCAGGCCCCCTCTGCTTCCCTCTCCTGCTGGATCTTCTCTGGAGTCGGCTCCTCACCCCGCCCCCAACTTGACTTCCCGTCCAGAGCTGGGTGGCCCTGACGCTACCCCCACTTCCACCCCCCACCTCCAGTTGAAGGGCTGGGGGCAGTAGGTGCAGAGGGCCCTGGGTTCCCACCCAGTCTGTGCCTGACACAGGTTGGGGCAGGGTCTTGGGAGCCAAGGGGAGAAGCAGGGCCGGGGTGTGGGGAGGGGGCGTCCTTGTGCCCGATGCCCCTGCCCAGTGCTGCGTGGCGAGGCCGCTGGGGCCTGAGTCACAGCTGACGGGGCCGCGCCCCGCCTGCCTGAGTGACCCAGGCCGGCATAAGGCGATGACTGGGCAGCCCTCCGCATGACCGCAGGGGTCGGCCTTAGGTGTTTTGACTCAGACCTGCCACAGGCCGTGTGCAGCACATCCAGCCTCCCCTTGTCCCTGTCCCCAGAAGAGTCACAGGGCTGCAGCTCCCCCCACGAGACATTGGGCCCCCTCCCAGGCCACCACTCCCTGCCCCAGCAGCCACCTCCAAACCTGGGGCGCCACCTGGCCCATCTGATCCACCCCTGCCACAAACTCCAGGGCCCCGCCTGCCCAACCCCCTCCCTCAGAGACCTTCGCCCCTCCCCGAGCCCAGCCCTCAGACGTCCTGAGACGTAGGGAGCCGGGCCGGCCTTGGGAGGGCCTCCCCACTCCAAAGGAGCATGGACTGTGACCCTTCCTCGGCACTGAAAAAGGGCTTTTGTGGGCACCCCATGTCCCAGCCCCTGGTGGAGGGTGGGAGGCAGGCAGGGCAGGTGACAGGACAGGGACAAAGAGAAAAGTGCCGAGAAGAAAGAAAACCACTAAGGAGGGAAAGAGGAAATAAGAGAGAGAGCCTCAGCCACACTGGGTCAGGGACGGCCCTGCCAATAACGTCGTGTCTGTGCCATCTCCCAGGGAATCTTTGTCACAGCTGGGAGGTGGGCCAAGTTGGCCCCATTGTACAGAGGGGAAACTGAGGCTCAGCCCGGGCAGAGTACCCAGCTAGGGGGCTGAGGTCTAACTCATTTTGTGTAACTCTAAAGTATTTTAAACTCATCCCTGGGAAGAAAAAAAATCACATGAAAACCTGCAGCAAAGAGTCTAAGGCCACAGAGGCCCGGGTTCGCATCCTGGCTCTGCTGTTTCTACGCTGAGTTTGTTCTGTAGATTAACAAAATGTGCCAGGACCCCTCCCCGCCTTTTCCTGTAGTTTTGCTGTCCTAGGGAACTTTTAACCCATGTGTGTGACATGCAGCATTGACTGAGAGTCCCGGACCGCCGCCCTGAAAAACTTAAAAAAGAAAAAGAGAACCCAGCTTCGAGTAGATTCAGCGGCTGGACTGCACCAGGATCTCTTTATCTTCCTTAGCCTGGTGCCAGCGGACGGCTGCTCGTGACGCCTTTGTCCCTTATGTGAGTCAGTGCCGGGAGCACACACTTCTTTGCAGGCGCTGAAGGCCCCGTCCCTCCAGGGAAAGTGTGCCTAGCAGAGCGTCAGCTCTCGCACACTGTGGCAACAAAGCGGTTGCTCAGAGGGCCCCATCCTGCTGCCTCTCATGGTGGATGGTCGTGGGGACCCATCACACAGCAGTCCGTGCTGTGGAGTCGGCAGGATGATTTGACAAGGCCCCGTTCTGCCTCTGTCTGATGGAAACTCCAAGTGGGAGCTTGCCCCACAAGCCCCTCTGGGTGGGGCAATCACAGAGGTGGGGGCATCTGTGCTTGGCCTCAAGGGCAGGAGGATGTAAGAAATAGGGAGGGGGGCCAGGAACAGAGGCCGATGCCTGTAATTCCAGCACTTTGGGAGACCGAGGTGGGAGGGTTGCTTGAGGCCAGGAGTTCGAGACCTGCCTGGGCAAAATAGCAAGATCCCATCTCTACAAAAATTAAAAATTTAGCCAGGCACGGTGGTGGCCTGTAGTCCCAGCTACCCAGGAGGCTTAGGTGGGAGGATTGTTTGAGCCCGGGAGGTCGAGGCTGCAGTGAGCCACAATCGTGCCACTGTCCTGCAGCCTGGGCGAGACAGTGAGACCCTGTTTCTCCAAAGGGGGAAAAAAAAAGAAGAGCTGAGGGGGAATAGGGAGCCCAGGCTGCATGCAGGGGTGGGAGCAGCTGAGTGGATAGAATGCAGAGATGACTGGCAACATGGGCCGTGCCTGAGAGCTGGGGGCCTCTGATGCTGCAGCCAGGAGTTAGGAATGGATGCTCTGTGCACTAGGATAAGAGGGAGTTCCGGAAGGTTTGCAAGCAGGAGAAGATAGGACAATAGTGATACTTTTAGGCTGTGTCCAGGGATCCAGACCCTGGAAGGCGATGGGGAGAGGAGTCGCCTGCAAGAGACGGGTATGGGAGAGACCACAGGACCGAGTGATGGAGGGGAGAGGAGGGGCCGAGGGAGATAAAGGCAATGGGCTGGGATTCTGGAACTTTAGTAGGGGCAAATGAGAAGCAGAAAGCAAGTGCAGGGTTTGGGGGCAGAACGGTGAGTTTGGCTTCAAGGCACCCACTAAGTCAGGAGACTATCCTGGTAGCTGGGTCTGTAGGATCTGGCCTTGGGAGGGATCAGACTGCAGGTGGTAGTTTGGGGTTACCTGCAACTGTGACTCCTCAGGAGATGTTACGGGGGTGACAAGTCCTCATAGACAGTGTACTTGAGACCCCCTCCCAGAGTCAAGCTCCCCCATCTGTTTCCTGTGGGGTGGGTGTGCTCTAGTTCAAAGTCAGCCTCAGACTCCTCTCCTGGGCAGTGAGAGGTAGGGGATGGCCAGGGGTCAGGCAGCCATGCTGGGCTTCCCAGCTTTTCCTCCACAGGCCAACCTCTGCCCTCCTGGAGGGCAACCCCAGCGTCAGCTGCGGTGCCTGCTCCTCTTCCGCTCCGGGAACCAGAGTGTACCTGGCTTTTGGTGTCTGCCACCTCCCACCCACAGCTTCCCAGCAGCTGAGGTGGAGGAAACCCTCTTCCCCCAGCTGGGGCAGGGAGACACAAGTGAGGGCCCCCACTCTGCTGTTGGCGGGGCCTGGAGCCAGGGCAGGCCGAGCGTGGGGGTGGCACCTGTCTAGGATGGGCTCCCTGGTGCAGGCCTCGGTGCCTCTGCTTCCCCCAGCAACACATTTGCCTCTGTCTTCTCCTTGGGGCTGGGAGGCGGGGCCCCACCTGCCCTGCTCTTCCTTGAGCGCCTACTGTGCACCAGGCACCATGCGGATGCAGAGACAGCATCAAGCAAAGCAGACTCGGTCTCCGTCCTCCATGCTAATAAGAGATGCAGTTGGGAATGTGAACACCACACAGAGTGCGTGCTGCCAGAAGGGACGGCACAACCAAGTTCCTGGACCCAGACTCTGGACAGGTGAGGAAGAATTGCTAAGGATGCATCCTCCAGCTGAGATCTGACAAGGAAGGAGCTAACTTGACAAACAGGACGGGGAACAGCATTCCAGGCAGAGGGAACAGCATAAGAAGAAACCCTGTGGTAGGAAGGAGCCCCAGGCATTTTGGGAGCCAAAAGATGGCCGTTATGGTAGGACCCCTGAGGGCAAGGGGGAGCCCAGTGGGGGCCGCGGGAGGCTCTTGCTAGGTACTTGGTAAATAGGCTGGAATATTTCAGAGAGCTTCCCAGGAAGACTGCTGGTTGGGAGTTAGGGGCCTGGAGTTCTAGCCTCAGCCCTGCACTACTTTGCTCTGTGACCCTAAGCAAGATGCGTCCCCTCTCTGGGCCTTTGGGTAAATCCTGATGCCCTCACTCATGATACTCTGATCCCTGAATGCTCAGAGCCTTTGCCCTAGCTCTTCCCGCCTCCCCATCTGCACGTCACTCAGACCACAGTGTGGACATCACCTCTCCAGATGCCACTCTGACCACTCGCAGCGCCTGGCTCTCCCGCTGCTGTTACATCACCCTGCTTTATTTTTGCTGAGCTCATCCTGCAATCGCAGATGCTCCTGTTGGTCCTTGTGCCTGTCTATTGTCTGTCTGCCCCTTGCCCTGGAGCTCTGTGCCTTCAGGAATTCATGAAATTGTCAGCCAAGTTACAGAGGAAGAGGGGCACCAGGAAGATGCATCCGCCTGGGAGTCCCACGGCCCTGAATTCAAACTGTGCCTATCCCCAGTTAATTTGGTCTGAGGATGTGGGCAGGCCACTCAGACTCTCTGAGCCTCAGTCTTCTCATCTGCAAAATGTATCATGTCTATTGCAGGGAGTTCTGCACTGATTCTCCTCCACCCTGATGTCAAGTCCTCCTGTTCCCATCCCATCCCCAGCTCTATTTGCCATTTCAGGAAGTGGGGGTAGCCAGGGACCGATCCAAGTCAAGCTCACCTGCCTCTGGGAGCCCTTGCCTCAGCATGTTTTCAGCCTATACGTGCTCGCCTGGGCATTCGGGGGGAGCCCAGTTTTCTGCGAGTCAGATGGAAACCCTAACCCCTTGGGCACTTCAGGAAGCAGTTTTAAGCACAAACCAGGTCACTGGCCTTGTCTAAGGCAGGATCTGTTATTCTTTTGTTCATTCCACAGATGAGGAAACAAAGGCTCAGAGATGTGAAGGAATTTTCCCAAGGTCACCCAGAGAGATGGAACGGGGCTGAGACAGGATTTCAAGCCCAGCCAGGTCTCTTCATTCTTCTGCACACAGCCATTCCTCGTGTCTGCTGCATGCTCACTCCACATGAGGCAGGATGCTGGTGGCAGGGGTGTAACTGTGAACTCACTCTTTGATTTATTCCACAAATGCCTAGAGCACCTTCCATGTTCCAGGCGCCGGATGTGCCCATGTCCCCCAGGGTGATCCAGGAACATACACACATATGAGAGGACACACTGGCACATACCTAAGCTTGCACATGCACAGACATGCATGCAGAGACGCACCCAGATATCCATGCCTACAAGCATTCATAAATACAGATACAGACATATGCCTCCATTAGGACACTGACATCCAGGCTTCAAAATGAGGTAAGAGAAATACACATGCAACACACATTGGTATATAACACACATCAGCATGCAACGTCCATCAGCACACAGACCTCAGCCACACACCCATGGGGGCCCAGAAGCAGCCCACACACTCAAGCCTTTCTTCCTCCCCTCTTGCTGCCACGTCTTGACACCCCTCATCCCCAATGTGTCAAGGGAGCCCCATTTGGCCATAACCAATGCCTCATCTGAGTTTGACACCCCACCCCACCACAGTCACAGCCCCCGGCGGCTGGGGCATGTGACTTCCCTTCCTAGGCAGAGCAAGGACCTCCAGCCCATCCCCAGAGCATGGACGCTTTTGGCCTTGCCACCAAGGTCCCTCCTCTCTCTAAGAGGCTGCCCTTCCACCACCCCAAATCCTTTCCAAGACAACCGTGAGACACAGAGGGTTTAGAAACCAGGCAAGTTTTAAATATAAGTTTGCACAATATTAACATTAAATATACATCATAAATAAGGCTTATAAATATAAAACTGATAAAAATTGATAAAAATCGATAAATTAGTCATGTCCCTCCAAGGAACTGGCCTCGCAGTTTCTGAGACCCCCTCTAGGAGAGCAATGGCTCCTGCGTGAGAAAATTCCAGGATCCACCACCAGGGGGAGCAGCCAGCAGCGAGGACCCAAGACGGGCTTCCCGGCGCTGGGAGGTGGGTCTGCTTTTACAGAGACCTCCGTGTACACCTCCCAGCGCCATTTGCACCACCTGTCCTGATTTACAGATTTTTAATATCCACCTTACGTCAGGGAATCCAAGCAACCGACAGGCAGTGGGGGCCTTGTACAGCCTCTAACTCCCTAGCTTCACAAAGAGAAAACAGGTCCACAGAGGTAAAGTGACCTGCCCCAGGCCACGTGGCGACTTCGGGGCTGGCCTGGGACCTGAGCTCCATTCCCTGGACCCCCGGATCAGGGCTCCTGGGACACCCTGCCGCTGTTACAGCTGCCTAAAGTGAGGTCACCCAGACATCCAGGTGTCTGGTTTGGGACATGATGAGGCATAGGAGGCCAGCTCAGGCTGTGACCTCCCCTTCAGAAACACGGAAAGGAGGAAGTCTGGGGGCAACGGCCCTGCAAGTCATGAGAGGGAAGGACCGGCAGGCCTCGGGGAGCAAGGCAGGGGGGCAGTCAGCCCGGCCATGAGTCAGCCTGTGTCATCAGACCCCTGAATCAATGGAAAGTCGGTCCCGCGTGGCCCGCCCGGCCACCCCACTGGGCCTGGGGAACTTGGGGCTGAGGTGGGAGCGCAACAGCCTGACTCTGTCTCCCAGCCTGGAGGAGGTAGAGGGGTCTGCCCAGCTCCCACCTCTTAAAGTGCACTTCTCAGTGGCTAGTAGCAGAGGGGAACAGGTTTGGGGACCCGGGAGCTGTCATCCTGCGATGGTTCCTCTCATCCACAGAGCACCTGCCGCATCCTTCACCGGCAAGGGGTGCTCTCGAGGCTACCGGGGCAGCTGTCCCCTGGTCATGAGTCTCTTGCCTTTCCTGGAGGGTCTGGTCCTGCGCACCCCCTTCCTCAGGGCCTGGTGGGGGCTGTGTCTCCGGCTCCGGTTCGGGCTCTCCCCCCACTTGCTGAAGACCCGCCCCACTGAGTGCATGAAGCGATGGTAGCCATGCAGGAACCTGCAGCCCTCCAGCTTGCGCTGAAAAGCATCCGAGGCAGGGGTGGGGGTGGGCGGCTGAGAGGCCCCCCGGCCAGCCTTCGTGGGCTCAGCCGTGTCTGAGTTGTCCAGCAGCTGGGCCATGCAGTAGATGTTGTTCCTGAGCCCGAGGATGTTCGGCCTCGCCATCTGCAGCTTCTCCAAGTCCTCGATGTTCAGCCCAGACCTCTCCAAATCCTGGGCCTTGGGGAGGCGCTGCTCTAAGTCGGCCAGTCTGTGCAGGACGCAGCCCAGTGTGGCATTGAGGGTCTGCAGGAAGCCCCGCCTGCCCAGCCCCCTCAGGGTCTCCTCACTGGGGAAGGCCCCGGGGCGCTCCCTGCAGTGCTCTCTCAGTTTAGGAACATCCAGGCCTTGGATACGTATCTGGCGGGAACAGGAGGATCACAGGGTGAATGCTGAGGATCCGGACCACACTCACAGACAAGTAAGCCTTGAAATGCTAGACCTCATGCACCCCAATCCAATCTCCCACTGGACAGATCCGGAAACTGAGGCCCGAGAGGGAAGAGGACCCCAAGATCACTGCAGGCAAGGTCGGAGTGATGTTGGGGGGCTGGTGGGATGCCCGTGGGGAATGAAGAGCTTCAAGAGGGCTGGACTCTGTCTTGCTCACTGCTACGTCCCAGTGCCTAGACCAGAGCCTGGCAGGTGTGCAGGAAACACACTGAGTAAGCAGGTGAGCATGGTGATGGTGTCCGGAGTCCCGCCCCGGGACCACAGAGCTAGGAAAGCTGGAGGGCCAGCCTTAGCTCCTCAGGGTTAAGGCTGGAATAACATAGCGACTCAGTTCCCCGACCTGGCCATATGGAGTGGGGCTAGGCCTGTCCTCCCTGCTTCTCACTCCCTTCCTAACCCCATAGTTCTCTGAGACTCAGATGCCACAAGGGCCCAGGTGCTTACATAGGGGTCCAGGAGTCTGCTGGTGTCCTGCATGAGATCTGTCTGCTTCTGGAGCTGGCCAAGGAGCACGCGGTACTCTTTCGAGCAGCTGCCTATAGCCGCCATGCTCGCCATGCTTGGAAACAGGAGTGCAAGGACCAGACCTAAGGCAGAGAAGAGGGGTGTCACCTGACTTGGTGAGGAAAGCCACAGATGGGAGCCTCGGGGAGGGGGTTCAAGAGGGCCTTGAAAGGTGCCTCCTTCATCCCAGACTTTGTGTAGTGGAGGGCGGGGGCTGGGCACTGTGTGGCACGGTGTGTGCCCAGGTGTGCCCACCAAGGCCACCATCATCTCCCCAGTAAGTCACTGCCCAGGGCCTGACACAGCAAGCAGTGGGAGGGACTGAGACAGTGGCTGCGATTTACCAAGTAGGTCTTTGAGCAAAGGCTGCAGTGCCTGGCCGGATCCCAGTCCTGCCTACAGCACGGTTCTAACCTCGGGAGCTGACTCTCTGCAAGGTGGGACTGGCTCCCTGCAAGACCACTGGGCTAAAGACCGGCCACTGCCCTAGGACCTGCCTTGTCAGCTGCTCTGGCCATCCAGGTAGATGGGCCTGAGAGGGCTTCAGGGCAGGCAGCCCGGGAGCAGCTTGTGTCCTCAGCTCTGTCTAGAACCAGGAGAGGCTGCCTTTTCAACCAGAGGTGCAGCCTGGAACAGATGTGGAAGACCTTCCAGTCCATGTCCCCACTTTCCTGACAGGTAAACCAAGTCTCAGGAGAAGGTCCTACTCAGGTCACACAAGGCCAGGGCTCTCCCCTGACCTCTCTTGCCTCCCTCCTCTCTCCATAAGTGGCTCCTTCTGTCAGGCCCACCAGGGATGCTGTGAGCCTGTCAGAAGGTGTTGGGGGCGGGTACAGTTACCGCTCACCACCACCCCCAACGGGGCACCGGCAGCCACGTGGTCGGAAGGGGCCTATGGCGCAATGGCCCGGAAGGCAGTGACACCATCGTTCCCGTCCTAAGAACCATCCGGCCCTTTGGGGAAGACTGGCTGTTGGGGAGGGCCAAGGGGCCAGGCACCCAGGCTTAGCGACCCCACGGCACCCTCGCCGCCTCCCCAGGTATCTGCTGCCGGGCTCTGGCAGGGGCCTGTGCCTGTGGCAGCGCACGTGGGACTGGGGTTTCTGTGTGGCTGTGCATCTGGGTCTGTGTGCGGCGTGAGGGAGACCTGTTCCGTTCACCATGGGGACTCTGGTCTGCATGTGGGGGTTCCTGGGCTGGTGAGATCCAGGGCTGTAGATGACGTCATATGGCTGTGTGCGCATGTGGCCATGTGGGTGTGGCTGTGCATGCTGTGTGATTGTGTGGGCCCTGGGGCCCCCAGGCCTGGCTGACTTTCTATTCATCCCGGGCAAGCTGGAGGCCCCACAACCCCTCCACACCTCACACCACTTCCCTGCCCAGCTTCTGAGCCTCCCTCTCCTGCCCAGCCTCTTTGCCCATCCTATTCTCTCACCCCCTGGTTCCCAGAGTTGCCTCTACATCTTGACATCACCTCCCCCTGGAAGCCTTCCAGGGATGCCCCTTCTCTACCTGTGGAGATGCCAGGTTCTCAGTGGACCACTCTCTCTGCCTGACCTCCTGGCTCTCTCCCCTTCTCAGCATCCTTCTGCCTGGCGCCTGGCCTCCCCAGTTCCCGGAGGGCAGAGGGTGCCTCTGCTCCCCACCGGCACCCGTGGGCAGACCCAGCAGGCGGGTTCTGGCGGGGAGGAAGGAAGTACTTACTGAGCAGCGTCCTCTGTGTGAGCAGTACCCCCATGCTGGGTGCCCGTGCTCCGGCCCGCGCCCGCTGGGGGTGACACCTCTCGGCTGGGAGCCCTGCAGGCTGGCAGCCACTTTATGCCCGCTGGGGCGATTGGCCAACACCTCATGAGGTGGGTGGGGATGGGGAGGGGGGAGGGCAGGCCTTCTGGGAACATGACCCCAAAAACCAAAATTTCCACGGGCGGCCAATGGGCGCAGGGCGCGGTGTATGCCCGCTCCTCCTCCTGTTTTCTTCGAATTCGTTCTTCGAGGTCAGCCCTACGCCCAAGGATGATGTAAAACCGCAGCCTCAGCCTTCCTAGGGTGAGTGGGGAGGAAAAGGGTCCATGCCATCTTCAGGGAACTGGGCCAGGGATGGGCAGGAGGGACTTCGAGCTGGGCCTCTGGAGGCCCCAGGCCAGTCTTGGCCCAGGAGCCATTGGCCTCACAGGACACGGTGGTTGGGGGCTGAGGGGAGCGAGACATCTTCCTTCTTGAGTGCCCTTCCTGCCCTCTCGCCGGGGCTGTTGGGACATCTGTGAGCGGAAACCACCGGGCTCTGGGCACAGAGCCAGACGCAGGCTGGCAGCCCCGAGATTGTGGTTCAGGCCCCAGGACCAGCATCCCCCAGCCCGGCTCCCGACGGTCTCCTTTCCCCCATCGTGCACCCTCTGCCAGGCCCACTCCCCAAAGCCAGGCCTTGTCTTTGTAGGCAGGCTCCACTGGGGAGAACTGGACACTTGGAGCAAGAGAAACAGGAGGCCAGGGTTCAAGCCTGCTGAGGTGCTGTGTGACCTGAGGCAAGTCACTTAACCTCTCTGGGCCTCAGAGACCCACAACTATAAAATGAGGAGGAGAAAAGCCTTTCCCAGCCCACCTCACAGGGTTGCTGCCAGCATGGACATAAAAGGAAAAGACCTCTGAAGGAAAAAGCAAAGATGAAGGTCTGATTCCAAGTATTAGCTGTCGAGGGGGCGGGATGGGGGAAGGAGGAGATGGGGAAGCTGTGAGCTCAGAGGGGAAGCCGGGGAGGGGGAGTTGCCGCCTTGACAGTTGGGGACCAGGTTTCACTTTCTCTGAAAGATAGCGATCTTAGGTTGGTCCTCTGCGAAAGGGCCCTGGGAACAGCGCCTCCCTAGTCAAACTGCTACTTTACTGTGGGGTAAACTGAGGCCTGGGTGAAGGCAGACAGGGAGGCCAAGAGGCTGGCCCAGGCCTATAGACCCTGCCTGGTCAGCACATCTCCCAGGCCCAGAGGAGGGTCCTTGGCCTGCACCCTAAGAAGCCCGGGTGGGAGGAGGCCCTCAGGAGTCTGGGGAGTCAGGGTGGGACTCCTGGAGGCTGCCAGGGAGGCCTGAGCTGCTCCAGCTGGAGGGAGCATGGGGTCTGGGGCGCCTGAGCAAGGAGAGCTGGGGCAGCCAGAAAGGAGGAGGTTGGATGCACCCCTGTCCATGCCTGCTCCCGATGCCCACTGTGGCCACCAAGGCAGTTGCCACCCATTCTCCCCATCACTCATTTATTCATTCGACAAACCTTTATTTGGCTCCATGCTGCACCAGCCACTCCCAGGTCTGAGGATCACGTAGTAGGCAAAAATAGGCGACCCCACGCCCAGGAGGCTGCTCTTCAGCCCCTACCCACTCCCCGGCACCCAGGCTGGGACTCACCACACCAGGCCTCATACCTCCCCCTCACCACCCCCAGGGGCCAGTTCTGGATTCTCATCCTGAGAATGTCGCTTCCGCTGAAGTCCTCATCTCTGTGCCCACCCCCACAATGCTGTTTCCTGGGGCCATGCCAAGAGGGGATCCTTCTCCATTTCACATCCCTGATCTCGTCTTTTTTTCTCTTTTTTTAAATGCAGGATCTTGCTCTGTCACCCAGGCTGGAGTGCAGTGGCGCCATTGTAGGTAGCTCACTGTGGCCTCCAGCTCCTAAGCTGAAGCAAGGCTCCCCGCCTTAGTCTCCTGAGTAGCTGAGACCACAGGCATGCATCACTATGCCCAGCTAATTTTTTTATTTTTTGTAGAGACGGGGTGTCACTATGTTGCCCAGGCTGATAACAAACTCCTGGGTTCAAATGATCCTCCTGCCTTGGCCTCCCAAAGTGCTGGGATTGCAAGCGTGAGCCACAGCACCCAGCCACCGATCTCATCCTGCAACAGCCAGGGGAGAGAAGCCGCTGGGCAGTGACACCTCAGCTCACTTCAGTGAGGAGCTCGAAGCTCTGGGAAGTTTAGGGGCTGGCTCAAGGAAGGAGCGCCAGATCTGAGCAGAGGGGTCTAGGCCATTTTCAGCTGTGGCTGACCGACCACCACGCTTGGTGAGAAACAGCCACATGCCTTTATCTTATTCTATCTATCCTGTGGTCCAGGGAGGCCGTGCTGTCTCCTCATGGCAGAGAGAGGAGGTTGCTTTGTCTGAGGTCACCTATGAATAGTTAAGAGGAGAGGGGCATTTGGCCAGGCATGGTGGCTCACGCCTGTAATCCCAGCACTTTGGGAGGCCGAGGCAGGAGGGTCATTTGAGCCCAGGACTTCGAGACTGTGTCTTTACAGAAAATGTAAAAATAAATTATCCAGACATCGTAGTGCATACCTGAAGTCCCAGCTACTAGGGAGGTTGAGGCAGGAGGATCGCTCGAGCCCCGAAGGTTGAGGCTGCAGTGAGCCATTATCATGCCACAGGACTCCAGCCTGGGTGACAGAGCAAGGCCCTGTTTAAAAAAAACAAAAAACAAAAAACCCACCAAGAAAAGAAGGCATTCAAACGAGGCCCAAAGACCATACTCTTTGCACATAGTTAATGAGGGTGTCAGGCACAGGGCCCAGGGCTCAGAGTCACTGAAGGTAAGGAGAGCAGGTAGATTACATTGCTAGGACTCCCATAACAAAGTACCACAGACTGGGGGGCTTACGTAACAGAGATTTATTTTCTCACAGTTCTAGAGGCTGAAGTCTGAAATCAAGGGCTGGTTCCCAAGGCCTCTCTCCTTGACTTGTAGATGACTGTCTCTCCCCGTATCTCCACATCATGTTCCTTCTGCTTGTCCGTGGCCTAATCGATTTTTTTTTTTTTTTGAGACAGAGTCTAGCTCCGTCACCCAGGCTGGAGTGCAGTGGCACGATCTCAGCTCACTACAACCTCTGCCACCTGGGTTCAAGCGCTTCTCCTGCCTTAGCCTCCTGAGTAGCTGGGATTACAGGCGTGTGCCACCACGCCAGGCTAATTTTTGTATTTTTAGTAGAGACAGGGTTTCGCCATGTTGTCCAGGCTGATCTCGAACTCCTAACCTCAGGTGATCCACCTGCCTCAGCCTCCCAAAGTGCTGGGATTACAGGAGCGAGCCACCGCGCTTGGCCTTATCTCTTCTTATGAGGACACCATTCACATTGGATTAGGGCCCACTCACATTTTACCTTAATTATTCCTTTTTTTTTTCTTTTTCGAGACAAAGTCTTGCTGTGTTGCCCAGGCTTAAGTGTACAGTGGTGCTTTCATAGCTCACTGCAGCCTTGAACTCCCGGCCTTAAGCGAGCCTCCTGCCTCAGCCTCCAGAGTAGCTGGGATTACAGGTATGTGCTACCACACCTGGCCAATTTTACCTTAATTACTTCTTTTTTTTTTTCTTTTCTTTTTTTTTTTTTTTTGAGATGGAATCTCACTCTGTCACCCACGCTGGAGTGCAGTGGCGCCAGCTTGGCTCACTGCAACCTCTGCCTCCCAGGTTCAAGCAATTCTCTGCCTCAGCCTCCCGAGTAGCTGGGACTACAAGTGCCCACCACCATGCCTGGCTAATTTTTGTATTTTTTTAGTAGAGACGGGGTTTCACCATGTAGGCCAGGCTGGTCTCGAACTCCTGGCCTCAAGTGATCTGCCTGCCATGGCCTCCCAAAGTGCTGGGATTACAGGCGTGAGCTACCGCACCCGGCCCTTAATTACTTCTTTAAAGGCTCAACTTCCAAATACAGTCACGTTCTGACACACGATGGTTAGGACTTCAACACATGAGTTCAGGGAAGACACCATTCAGTCCATGCAGCCTGCAAGAGGAAGGCATAGCTGGAGGGCACAGGGGCTGGGGCCACTGTCGGAGCATCCAGAGTGAAGTGATACACAGGAGGACAGGGAGTGGCTCGGAGGTGAGGAGGCCTGGCCGCTGACCATCCCAGCCAAGCGTGAGGAAAGATGCGTCAGCGTTTCTGGTGAGGTCAGCAATCAGTGACGTCCCTCTCACCAGCAGGAAAAGCTTGCAACATGGCCCAGCCAGTATAAATAGGCTCCCCGACCACAGGACCCGGGCTGTCCCCTCTTCCCGGGCCACGTCAGCCAGGCCCGCGTGATTTGGAGAGGAAGAGAGGACCAGCTTGGTTCCTCAGAACTGCTGCTTCCTCGCTTTCCGGCTTACCCTCTGCTGTGGGGCCCTACGCCTTTAAATGCAAGGATAGGACCTGAGATGGCCTGGCAGGGCCAGGTCGAAACTGGAGGCTGGGGAGAGGTGCTCTGGTGGGGGGAGAGAAGGTGGCCCCCAATCTGCTGGGTGGGAGGTGGAGACCAACCCAAGTTCCATCTCAATCTGCCTGTGAGCCCAGTGTCCCTGGACCAGTCATGTCCCCCTTCTGAGCCTCAGTTTCCTCTTTTTAAACTGCAATGACAACTGAACAACAATGAAAAAGACAAGCAATCCAATTTAAAAATGGGCAAAGGATTTTAATAGACATTTCTCCAAAAAAAAGAAGATATACAAATGGCCAAGAAGCACGTGAAAAGATGCTAAACACCAGGGAAATGCAAATCAAAACCACCATGAGAAGCCATTCCACATTCACTAGGGTGGCTATAATCAAAGGTAGACAATTACAAGTGCTAACGAGGAGATGGAGAGATGAGAACCCTGGGGCATTGCTGGTGGGAATCTACAATGAATGGTGCCACCAAATTGGAAAACAGTTTGGCAGTTCCGCAAATGGTTAAACACAGAGGCCAGAGGCAGTGGCTCACGCCTGTAATCCCAGCACTTTGGGAGGCTGAGGCCGGCAGATCACTTGAGGCCAGGAGTTTGAGACCAGCCTGGCCAACGTAGTGAAACTCCAACTCTACTAAAAGTACAAAAAATTACGCAGGCATGGTAGCACTCGCCGGTAGTCCCAGCTACTCGGGAGACTGAGGCAGGAGAATTGCTTGAACCTGGGAGGCGGAGGTTGCAGTGAGCCAAGATTGTGCCACTACCCTCCAGTCTGGGTGACAGAGTGAGACACTGTCTCAAAAAAAAAAAAAATAAATAGAGATATCATATAACCAACAATTCCACTCCTAGATATACACCCAAGAGAATTGAAAACATAGGCCAGGTGCAGTGGTCAGACCTGTAATCCCAGCACTTTGGGAGGCCAAGATGGGAGGATCACTTGAGCCCAGGAGTTCAAGACCAGCCTGGCCAAAAAAGTGAGACCCCATCTCTACAAAACATTTAAAAATTAGCTGAGCATGGTGGCTTGCACCTGTGTGGTCCCAGCTACTCAGGAAGCTGAGACCGAAAGATCACTTGAGCCTGCGAGGTCAAGGCTGCAGTGAGCCATATTCATACCACTGCACTCCAGCCTGAGTGACAGAGTGAGACTCTGTCTCTGGACAAAAAAAAAAAAGAGGCTGAGCACGGTGGTTCACACCTTTAATCCCAGCACTTTGGGAAGCCAAGGCAGGTGGATCACCTGAGGTCGGGAGTTCAAGACCAGCCTGGCCAACATGGTGAAACTCCATCTCTACTAAAGATACAAAAATTAGCTGGGCATGGTGGCGCACGCCTGTAATCCTAGCTACTCAGGAGACTGAGGCAGGAGAATCACTTGAATCTGGGAGGTGGAAGCTGCAGTGAGCTGAGATCGCGCCTTTGCTCTCTAGCCTGGCAACAAGAGCGAAACGCCAAAAAAAATAAGAAAGAGAGAAAGAGAGAGTGGGAGAGAGGGAGGAAGGAAGGAAACGTACATCCACACAAAAACTTGCAAATGTTCATAGGAGCAATTATTCGGCATAGCCAAAAAGTGGAAGCAACCCAAATGTCTGTCAATAGAAAATGGATAAACAAAATGTGTTCTATCCATACAAAGGAATATTAAGTCACAAAACGGAAGGAAGCATTGCCATGTGCCACAACATGCATGAACCTTGAAACCATGATGCTGCATGAAAGAAGCCAGACACAAAAGGCCACATGTTGTATGATTCTGCTATGGGAAATGTCGGGAATAGGCACATGGAGAGACACAGAGAATACACCAGTGGCTGCTGGGGGCTGGGGCATCCAGGGCTGGGGAGAGACTGCTAATGGGCACGAGGTTTCTTTGGAGGTGATGAAGATATTCTGGAATTACATAGTGGCGATGGTTGCACAACCATGTGAATATACCCAAAACCCCCAAATCATACACTTTAAAATGATACAATTGCTGGTAGGTGAGTTGTATCTGAATGTTTTAAAATGCAGTAGCAAATGCACCTTGTAGGACAGTCAGCAAAATGCAGTGAGGTGAGTACGTGAGCGCCTGGCACATTGGAGCAGGTGCTCGGTCACACTTACCCGCCAGCCGCCAGGGCAGACGAAGGCAGGCATTTGCTTATGTCACACGGTGGCTTTGAGGGAGATTGGGAAAGGCGGTGTTACATAAACCCCAGGGTGAACAAGGAGCCACCAAGCACCCTCCCCAGAAGGTCATCGAGGTCACATTGGGATGGGAGGGGGGATCCCTTGGCTTGCAACCTCCACGGAGTTCTTCTGGGACCTGGAGTGTCCACCCACAGGTGTAGGAGAAGGAACCCCGTTCTGTGCAGTAACCTCCAACTGTCTGCCTCATGGCAACCGAATCCAAAGATCCTCAGACAAGGCCCCACCACTGCCCACTCTCTGGCTGGCCTGGAAACCCCCGCTGCTGCTCTCTTTGAGTCCAGGATCCTGTCCTGAGATGAGGGGACATGTGAGATGACCACAGAATGCCCAGAACCCTACAGAGCCAGGCAGAGCCCCTTAGCGGCTCTAAGCACTAAAATACTATGCTAACTAAAAACTACCCTCAGCATCAAACAAAGATAAGGAAGTCTAGTCTGACTTTTCTCGTGATGACAACATACCATGCCTATTTTGAAACGTCAGAGTCTGGCCAAAAATGTTTGGGTGAATGGGGTACCAGTCATCATTATCGGGAATATTTCTGGAGCAACCTCTGCGTACTGGTCCCAGTCCTAAGCATTGAATCCTTGTAACCACTTTAGGAGGCAAGTATCATTATTTTGTCCTGCAGATGGTGAAGCTGAGGCCTGAGAGGCAGAGACCTGGGAGGGAGCAAAGGCACACTGGAGCCCAGGCACCCTCCTAGAGCCACCAGATCGACCCGCATGCCCAATGGGTTGTCCAGAACTGATGTTGCCAAGTGGCTTGAGGAAAGCAAAAACAACAGCTTGGGGAAGGAGCCAGGAGAGGGAGGAGGTTCCCTGTCACAGTGGGAGGCCAGCCAGGGCGCAGGACGGCACAGGCCTAGTTCAGAGAATGGCAGGTGTGGCTGGAAGTCTGACAGGGAGGAAGATGAGGAGTGAGGGGTGATGGCATCCCACTAGGCTTTGTTGCTTTTGCGGCCCCTAGGGAGGGGCTCATACCACACAGCCGGGTCGAGTCCTTCTGCTTAAACAGTCCCTGTCTTCCCATTGCCATTCTGATAAGGCCAAAGTCATTACCACAGCCACCAGGTCCTGCCCACCTCCCAGCCTCACTAGTACCTTTCTTTTGCCTGCCTTTCTCTGGCCTTCCTCAGTCCTTCCGGGAGCAGCTCTCACCTCAGGGCCTTTGCACATGCCGTTCCCACTTCCTGAGCACTCTACCTGTGACCTGCCACCTAGATATCAACGTCCAGTCCACGCTGCACCTTTTCAGGGAAGACCTCCCTGACCTTCCTCACCCCAGGCTGGTCCCAACCCGCCTCCTGGCACCCTCCCAGAGTACCACGTATCCCTCCACACCACGCTCTTCAGAGGTGTACATTTTTAAAACTATGAGGTTGTCTCTCCAGCCAGACTGGAAACTCTCAGAGGGTGTATACTGTGGTTGTGGCCCCCACCCCCATTGCCTCTCCAGAGCACAGCAAAGCCCCCAGAATGTAATAGGCTCTCCATACATTCTTGGTGAACCGATGAATGCACAGCCATATAGCTGCAGCCATCTTTAGAAGCCTGGGGAAAGGTGAGCTGTGGCTCCCAGGCTGCAGGACCCAGAGGCGTCCCTGTCCCACATCTGGTGAACCCAGAGCCAGGCCTCTGGAAGTGCAGGGCCATCTCGCTGTGGGCAGGAACAAGTCTCTCAGGCCCTTTTCCATGCATTCTCCCGGTCCCCTCTCCCGAAGAATCAGAACTCTATCAATCACAGTCCATCAGAGCATGTGATTTTGTTTCTGGGAAGCTTCAATTTCAAAGACGCTGAGTTTCTCTTTTATGATAATTTTTTTAAAGGGAAATCAAAATCTGCTCTTTCACTCACTGCAGATTTCAGCACTTTCCCGGAAAATTGACTAAAAAAGAAAAAGCCACTGGTGCTTCTTTTAAAGGGTTCACTTCAGAATGAATTCCACATGAGTGGCACCTGATGGTCTCATAGAAAGAGATTGGTCTTCGTGGAAGGGGGCAGTCCTACCTTTTGCAAAAACAGACAAATCACAGTGGGTTCTCAGTCTGTCATTTGACCTATATTTAAGTACCCACTGTGTGTGCTGGGCACAGGCTAGATGTGGAGGATAAATCAGAGAGAAGGAAAAGGCTTCCGGTCAAATGAATCTGCACCGAATGTCTTTTTATAGCCAGGTTTTGAAGGGTGAGTAAACGCACACGCTCACACATGTGCATACAAGGGCCAACACCCGGCACATGGAAGGGTCTGGAAAACCCACTGATGGACCACCCATTTCTCAACCCAGGCCACAGAAGGGAGCACCTGACTCACCCTCGCTTTTGTGGTGTAGCAATGCACCTGTGTCCTGAACAGCACCAATCAGAATCCTTCCCTGGAATGACGTCAGACTCAGGAAGCATACCTCTGTCACATGGCTGGGATATCACTAATCTGCCGCTATGGAAAACCACCTTCCCCAGCCTCACAGGCAGAGGTGTGGGGTCCTGCAGAGTGGACAAGAATGTGCCCGGCGCAGCCAGGGAGGCTGAGGGGTCTCCCTGAGCCCTGATCCCTGTTGAAGCCAGGGACATACACGTGGTGTGTCCCAGCCACACGGGACAAGACACAGGTCCCCTCTTTGCTAGCTGTGCTGGTTTTCTGGCACTTGGAGCTGGGAGTCCTTCGTCCCACACAAGCATGAAGATAGAGGCAGGAGGCACGGAGGACAGGGAGGAAGTTGGTCAGACTCAGAACGTTCTGTTGGTGCCAGCTGCACGGGCACAGCAAGTGCTGCAAAACCTCAGAGTCTTTGCCCAACAAAGAGGCAACTGCAGAAGATGGTGGGAAGCGGCCAGGGTCCCAGTGGGGCTGTCTACAAATGACAGCCCTGATCCCAAGGGGAAGTCTGGGACAAAGAGGTGGGGCTCCCAGGGATGTGGATCACCACCTGGAGGAAGTGCCCTGGGACAGGCGCTGTGCAAGGGTAGCTTTCCTCCCCGTCTTATTCTCGGAGAGACACCAAGGAAACTCAGGGTGTTTATTCTGATACGAAAAAGAGAAACAAATCCGGTAGTTCTGAGGGGAGAGAAGGCCATCAGCGCTTGCTCCATCCAAGGGCCTGCTGGTGGCCATTCAATGGGTGATAGAGGGTGACTGGCCAGGGCCAGGTCACTCTGTCCACAGAACAAGCATATACAGAAGGAAGGCAGAACAATGTGTCATTAAACACAAGTGCTGGGCGCCTCCACAGTCAAGAAGGCAGAGCTTAGTAACCGAAAGGTGAAAACAACCCAAATGTCCTTTAACAGATAATACAGCCGGGCACGGTGGCTCATGCCTGTAATCCCAGCACTTTGGGGGGCTGAGGCAGGTGGATCACCTGAGGTCAGGAGTTCAAAATCAGCCTGGCCAACATGGTGAAACGCCATCTCTACTAAAAATACAAAAATTAGCCGGGCGTGGTGGCGGGCGCCTGTAGTCCCAGCTACTCAGGAGGCTAAGGCAAGAGAATCTCTTGAACCGGGAGGTGGAGGTTGCAATGAGCCAAGATGGCGCCATTGCACTCCAGCCTGGGCGACAAGAGTGAAACTCTATCTCAAAAAAAAGAGAAAAGAAACAAAATGTGGTCTACGCAAACCATGGACTATTATTCAGCCATAAAAAAGAGTGAAGCACTAAAACACACTGCAACGTGGATGAACCCCAAAGACGTTATGCTGAACCAAAGAATCTAGATGCAAAATGTCACCTATTACACAATTCCATTGCAAGAAATATCCACCATAGGCAAATCCATAGAGACAGAATGCAGACTGGTGGTCGCCAGGGGCCGGGGGAGGGAGGAATGGGGAGTGGCTATTAATGAACGTGGGGTTTCTTTTTGGATTCATGAAGATGTTTCAGAACTAGACAGTTGTGCAACATTGTGAATGTACGAAAGGGCCCCGAATTCCTGAATTTGTTTTTTTTTTTTTCTTTTTTCTTTTTCTTTTTTTTTTTTTTTTGGAGATAAGGTCTGGCTCCTTTGCCCAGGCTGGAGTGCAATGGCATGATCTCAGCTCACTGCAACCTCCATCTCCTGGGCTGAAGTCACCTCAAGCCACCCCCTGCAGCTGGGACTACAGGCACGTGCCAACAGGCCCGGCTAGCTTTTAGTAGAGATGGGGTTTTGCCATGTTGCCCAGGCTGGTCTCAAACTCCTGAGCGCAAGTGATCCGCCCACCTCAGCCTTCCAAAGCGCTGGGATTACAGGCATGGCACCCAGCCCAATTAGTCATTTTTAAAATGGCTGGTTTTATATATTATGTGAAGCTCATTGCAATTAAAAAAAATTTTTAAGGCAGAGCTGAAAAACACAACCACCCCAGGAAAGCCAAGGGGGCTGGAAGACAGTGAGTCAGACGTCAAGGGGGCAGGAGAAAGTCCAAGGGCCTCCCCTGGCTCTTCCTGTTTTATTGCCTATTGTGCACTTATCTAAGAGCTCTTATTCTTAGACACAGAAAAGCCTCACTTAAGTTGCAAAGGCCGAGGCATGCTGGCTTAGGACACTGCCTGATGGCAGCTGGGAAGGCTTTCCTCTTTGGGAGAGAACAAGCATGGGGAGGCGCCAACCGGAAAGCTGGTGCAGGCTGGGAGGTCTCAAAGGCAGGTCTCGTGAGCAGGGGGCTGTGATCAGGGAGGGAGAGGACACACTAGGATTGAGACTGAGGCAGGGAGGCCAGCGGGGAGTCTAAGACAGCAACAGAGGAGAGGACATCCGTGGCTGAATCCGGTCCCTGGAAAGCATGGGGTGCCGACTGGGGAGGAGCACTGGGCTGGAGAGCCAGCAGGGTGGGGGGGCTCTGTGTCAGGGCAGGCTGGCTGAGCAGAGTCCAGGCTGAGCAGCTCTGGGCACAGTGGGCAGAAAGGAGGGGCAGTCGTGCTTCTGGCTGCAGACAGAAGAAGGGGACAGAGAAGGAGAGGAGGGAGCGGGTAGGAGGGAAACTGGAGAGGCCAAGGCTGAGGGAGCCAGGGCAGGAAGATGGAAGGTGGAGGGTACTGGTGACTGCATGGGAGCTGGGCCTTCTGAGAGCTGGGCACTGGAACCAGCACTGGGGGAGGTGGCAGTGCAGTAGCAAATGTCCCCTGATCAGGGAGAGGCAGGGAGGCCTGAGGGCATGTGGGTTCAGGGTAGAGAAGTAGACAAGAGGGTACACATAGGCACATGTGTGAACACAAAAACGTGAAAGACGGCTGGGCGCTGTGGCTCATGCCTGTAATCTTAGCACTTTGGGAGGCCAAGTGTGGATCACCTGAGGTCAGGAGTTTGAGACCAGCCTGATTAACATGGTGACTAACTTGACTGAAAATACAAAAATTAGCCGGGCGTGGTGGCGCACGCCTGTAATCCCAGCTACTTGGGAGGCTGAGGCAGGAGAAGCGGCTGAGCCTGGGAGGCAGAGGTTGCAGTGAGCCGAGATCGTGCTACTGCATTCCAGCCTGGGTGACAGAGTGAGACCTGTCTCAAAAAACAAAACAAAAAAAAACATGGAAGATGCCTCCATGCACGCATACTCTCAAAAACATACAAAACCAGCCCTGACACATAGAAAAACAGACTTGCAGAAACATAGACCCCCCCCAACACTCACATGTGTACACACATACACAGACGCACAGACACATACAGCCATATACATGCAGGCAGGCACACATGCAGAAAGAGAGCCAGTGTTCTTATGTAAGCAGATACATGTACACCCACAGACAGCCTGACCTCCAATAGAGGTCCAAGTACACACCCACACCAGGACACAACGTCACTTCTACATGTGGGTAAACTGTCTCACATACATGTGCACCTTCCTGCCAAAACAGACTCATCTGTAGAGACGTATACACAGAGGTCTGCACTCACTGCAAAGGCAATGCTGCCCACACACACCCAAGCAGCATGCACCCATGCAGTACACACACCCGTGCAGCTTGCAGACACCCCTGCGGCACAGTCACCCATGCAGCACACACATCCACATGGCACCATGACCAACCCCCGGGAAGGCAGCTCTGGGTACCCCATAAGAGGCAGCCTGGCTCTGGAACCCCAGTGCCGGGGCTTGCCTGGGAAAGTGAGATGCAAACCGCGGCCATTGCCCAACACACCCACCCTGCCAGCCCTGGGTCAGGAAGGAGCCAGGGCCAGGCCTCGCGTGCCCGCCCACACATCCGTTGCCACCAGCAGCAGACACCCGGCCACCGACGCAGACAGCTGGGATTGCAAGGGATCTTGCAAAATCTCCCATCCCTCAGGGTTCAGCTAAATTGTCTCTTTGCCCAAGGAAACTCCCCAGGCTCCTGTGGGGACTCCTAACCTTCTTTTGGAATTCTGGTTCCGCACTGCCCAGCTGTGTGACACTGGGCAAGGCACTTCACCTCTCTGTGCTTCATGTCCACCTGGGTAAAATAGGGATAACAAGAGCATGCGTTGAATATACAGTCATGCACCGCATAACATTTGCATCAATGATGAACCACATATATGATGGTGGTCCTGCAAGATTATAATAGAGCTCAAAGGTTCCTGGCGTCTAGTGATGTCTGGATGATCCAACCTTGTATAGACCTAGGCTAGTGTGTTAGTGTGTGCGTGTTGGTCATAGTTTTGGTGGGTTTTTGTTTTTGTTTTTTGAGACAGGGTCTTGCTCTGTTGCCCAGGCTAGAGTGCAGTGGCGTAAACACAGTTCACTGCAGCCTTGACCTCCTGAGCCCAAGCAATCCTCCCACTCCCACCTCCTGAGTAGCTGGGAGCACAGGTGCGTACCACTACACCCAGCTAATTTTTATTTTTTGTAGAGACAGGGTCTTGCCATGTTGCCCATGCTGGTCTCGAATTCCTGGGCTCATGTAGTCCTTCTGCCTTGGCCTCCCAAAGTGCTAGGATTACAGGCATGACTCACTGTGCCCGGCTTGGTCTTAGTTTTTTTAACAAAAATGTTTAAAAAGTTGTAAAAAATTTAATTTTAAAATAGAAAAAAGCTTATGCAGTAAGGATATAAAGAAAATATTTTTGTTTAGCTGTACAATGTGTTTTAAGCTGAGTGTTAATACAAAAGATTTAAAAATTAAAAAAATAAAAGTTTACAAAGTAAAACGTTATAGTAAGTGAAGGTTCATTTATCATTGAAGAAAGAAAAATATTTTTAGTAAATTTAGTGTAGCCTAAGTATACAGTGTTTATCAAGTCTACAGTAATGTACGGTAACGTCCTAAGCCTTCACATTCACTCACACTCACTCACTGACTCACCCCGAGCAACTTCTAGTCTTGCAAGCTTTATTCATGGTAAATGTCCTATTTGGGTATTTTTTATTTTGTTTTGTTTTGTTTCCGAGATGGAGTCTCGCTCTGTCCCCCAGGCGGGAGTGCAGTGGTGCGATCTCAGCTCACTGCAACCTCCACCTTCTGGGTTCAAGCAATTGTCCTGCCTCAGCCTCCCGAGTAGCTAGGATTATAGGCGTGCACCACCATGCCTGGCTAATTTTTGTATTTTTAGTAGAGGTGGGGTTTCACCATGTTGACCAGGCTAGTCTCAAACTCCTGACCTTGTGATCTGCCCACCTCGGCCTCCCAAAGTGTTGGGATCACAGGCGTGAGCCACCACGCCTGGTGGGTGTACTGTTTTTATAATTAATTAATTGAGAGACAGAGTCTTGCTCTGTCACCCAGGCTGGAGTGCAGTGGCATGATCATAACTCACTGTAGCCTTCAACTCCTGGGATCAAGTGATCCTCCCTCCTCACAGCCTCTTGAGTAGCTGAGTAGCTAGGACTACAGGCACACACCACCATGCCCAGCTTTTTTTTTTTTTATTTTTTGAGACAGAGTCTCGCTCTGTCGCCCAGGCTGGAGTGCAGTGGCGTGATCTTGGCTCACTGCAAGCTCCGCCTCCCAGATTCACACCATTCTCCTGCCTCAGCCTCCCAAGTAGCTGGGACTACAGGTGCCCGCCACCACGCCTGGCTAATTTTTTTTTTTTTTTTTTTTTTTGTATTTTTACTACAGACGGGGTTTCACTATGTTAGCCAGAATGGTCTCGATCTCCTGACCTTGTGATCTGCCCGCCTTGGCCTCCCAAAGTGCTGGGATTACAGGCGTGAGCGACCGTGCCCGGCCCTAGCTTTTTTTCTTTTTTTTTTTAGACAGAGTCTTGTTCTGTTGCCCAGGCTGGGGTGCAGTGGTGCAATCTCGGCTCACTGCAAGCTCTGCCTCCCAGATTCACGCCATTCTCCTGCCTCAGTCTTCAGAGTAGCTAGGACTACAGGCGCGTGCCACCATGCCCAGCTAATTATTTTTGGTATTTTTAGTAGAGAAGGGGTTTCACCATGTTGGTCAGGATGGTCTCAATCTCTTGACCTCATGATCCACCCGCCTCAGCCTCCCAAACTGCTGGGATTACAGATGTGAGCCACATGCCCAGCGATTTTAAAATTATTATTATTATTATTGTACAGATGGGCTTTCGCCATGTTGTCCAGACTGGTCTCCACCTGGGTAAAACTCCTAGGCTCAAGTGATTCTCCTGCGTCAACCTCCCAAAGTGCTGGGGTTACAGGTGTGAGCCACCACACCTGGCTATGCTTTTTTTATACCGCATTTTTACTGTGCCTTGTCTATGTTTAGGTATGTAAGCACTCGCCATTGCATTATAACTGCCTACAGTATTCAGCACAGAAACATGCTGTACAGGTTTGCAGCCCAGGAGCAACAGGCTAGCCCAGCTGGCCCAGGTGTGTAGCAGGCTATCCCAACTAGGTTTGTGTGAGTACACTCTATGACGTTCATACGACAACCAAATCGCCTAATGATGCATTTCTCAGAATGTATCCCCTCTCCTTAAGCAACATGTAGACTGTATAGATGTAAATTAACCAAGCACAACACCTGCCCTCCCATACAGGCGAATGAGGGAAGTGGCTTCCCTGTGCTCGCTCAGTAAGCCAGCCGCAGACGGCTCAGCATCCCCGGCTACTCCTTTCTCCTGCCTCCTGCTCAGGCCCTTCCCACTGGGCAGGATCCTGGGTCCCAGAGGAAGATGAAGAACATGTACAGTTTCTTCTCACCTCTACAGAGAACCAAAAAGCCAGCTGTGGAACCATTTGGCAAGCATGCGACCCAGCAGCCTCACCCACCTGGGAGGGAGATGAGGACTTTAAATCCTAAATCTCTGCTCCAGTATTTCGGAGAGGGGAATTTAGGAGTTCACTTCCTCTGTCTAGGCATGAAGATGAGAAAGGGTGGAAGTAATCCGCTGACTCTGCCTGGCTGAGGTTTCCTCATCTCCCGTCCCCACCCACCCAGGCCCACATCCTCCCTGCAGATGCTGGGCACCAGGCTGGCAGTTGGAGGGCAGAGAGCCCCCTCCCTCTCCCTGAGGGACCGTGGGCAGGCCCCTCCCTGGGACCTGCTACCATCTTTATGAAGACAGGCACTTCGGCTCCCCAGCCTGTGCTGATGTGGACAGGTGACCAAGAGCTCCCAAGGTGAAGGATGTGGGCTGCATGCCAGTAAGTGCCCCCAACCTCGGTTATGAATGACCCACATGGAGCCCAACCCCGGACCCAGGCTGACCAGACCAGCTTCCTGTGCCCCAGGACTCTCTGGGGGCCTGGATGGGACTAGGAGGTAGCTCTGTGAGTCTCCACCTTAACCTGAGAGATCTCAAGGTCAGCCTGTCTGACCTGACACACAGCATCAGCTGCGTGTGAGATTCCGGGTCACGTTCCTGGAAGATGCCCCCCACTTTCTCATCTGTGTGTCCCTGGGGCACTTCCCAAGTTCTGTGCCCCTGAGCCCAGCTTGGTCTCATGATCTCCCCAGCACTCCTAGGAAGGTGGCCCTATCTGTAGCCTGCTGGAGGCGAAGAGCTGGCCCAGTGACCCCTAAGGACCCTATTATCTAGGAGCTAAAAATCCTCCACACAGACACACAGGTATGTGGCAGAGACACACACAGGCACACTGACCTCAGGCCTGTGTGAGTCAGAGCAGCCCGCAGTGGTGCACCTGTGGCCCCTCACCCAGGCCAGCCTCGTGGACAACCCCAAGAACTAGCGGAGGCCAGGTTGGGACTTGGTATGAGGGACCCAAGAGAGGCCTGAGGCCCTTGGTGAGCCGGGGTGACAGGAACACCAAACCAGGCAATGACTCATAGGCAGACAGACAGATGGTGAGACCCCCAGGGCTGGATATGGGGCCAGGAGCCCACTAGCTGTAGGTTAAACAGCCCCAAGAATCCTGACTCTGAAGCTCCCACCTCAAGCCCAGACATCCCCCAAGCCAGGGCCCACACCAGGCCCTCAAAAGAGAGGAACTGGGACTCCTACTCCCCCAACCCCCCTCCCCCAACAAAAGACAAACTCGGCCTGGTGTGGCACTTTGGGAGGCCAAGGCAGGCGGATCACTTGAGGTCAGGAGTCCAAGACCACCCTGGCCAATGTGGTGAAACCCTGTCTCTAGTAAAAACACAAAAATTAGCCTGGCATCGTGGCGGCCCCCTGTAATCCCAGCTATTCATGAGGTTGAGGCAGAAGAATCTCTTGAACCCGGGAGGTGGAGGTTGCAGTGAGCTGAGATTGTGCCACTGCACTCCAGCCTGGGAGACAGAGCGAGACTCCATTAAAAAAAAAAAAAAAAGTCAAACTCCAAAGAAATGCCCCCCTCCCCATGTTCCTGAAAGAGCTGTCTCCTAGGTCTCCATGCACATGGGGAAACTGAGGCTGAAGCGAAGGGCTGGCCCGGGGGGCCCCTGCTGCTCACTCACCAGGCTGTGCTGTGCTCTTGGCTCCTGTGATCTGTAGCCCGAGGCCCCAGACCCCTGGTCCCCAGGAGCAGGGCGGGCGCATTGCCAGAGGCCTGTCCCTGTTCTGGCTTTTCTGAGGAGCCACCACGACCTCTGAGTACACAGAAGTCACACCCTTCTTCCCTGCCTGAGCATGGGTGGGTCTGGGCTGAGGGAACCCGATAGTCTCCCTGGGTCATCTGTGGGGCCCCATCAGGCAATAGCAGGATCCCAGCCTCACCAAGCAGGGAGGCGGCCCCGGAGGACAGAGCAGGCTCCAGGTGGCCTCCAGGTCCCTGTCCCATCCTCCTGGCCCTGAACTTTAGGAATGACTCCAGGAGAGCCCTGGTGTTAAGAACTGACTGATCTCTTAGCCAACAAGAGGGACGGCCAGAACTCAGGCAGGACCCAGAAAAAAGCAGGCAGCGGGCTGGAAGAAAGAAAAGTGCTTTTGGGCCCTCTTTGGTGGGTTTCATAGCAGGCCGGCCATATCCACAATGACAGGGAAGGCTGGGAGACTTCCCCAGACAGGAGGGTCTGGGACTCTCTGCCAAGGTTCAGAACCCTCTGGGCTATTTGGAAGCTATTCTGAAATCTGGGAACACCCCAGATTTCAAAGGCAGGCATGGGAAGGGGAATCATGTGACCTTGGCTAAGTCATGTCACCTCTCAAAGCTTCGGTTCCTCGTCTGGAAAATGGTGATGGTTTACTGAGCTGTGGTGAGAGGTGAATGAGGCAAAGCCAGGTGAGCCCAGCCCCCAGCCAGCTACACAGAGAGAGACCAAGACCTCAGATGGAGGGGACCATGAGGTGGAGCCATGGCTGAGACTCAGACCCAGAGGACCCCCAAGGACCGTAGCCCAACCCAGTCACTACAAAGTCCTTTATTAACAAGTCAATAAAAACAGAAGAGAGAGAGATGTCAAAATACTTTCCTTGGAGGCCCCAGGAGGGAGAGGCACTGTCAGGACTCACCTGGCCAGGGAAGGCAACCCCACCAGAGGCAGAACGGAGGTCAGCGGGGCAGCTGGCCCAGGAAGCCTTTGGGGAATGGCTCAGGCCTCAGGCAGGGACTGTGCAAACGCCGAGGCTGCGCAGGGAGTGATGGGTTGGGGGCTTAAGCCCCGAGCACCGTGTTCCCCTGCATGGGCAGACACGCAGTCAGGCTAGCACCTGCCCACTCCACCTGTGAGTGTACACAGGTGTCCGCGTAAAAGCCGGTGCCTGCACGCAGCTTACATACAGAGAGCGGAACGAGGGTCCCCAGCAGAACAGGGGGCTCGTTCCAGAGCTTAAGGAAATAGCTTAGAGAAGTCTTTGGAAGCCTGGGTCGAGGGGAGAGCAGGGAGGCTGCTCTGTTGCCCATGGGCCTCAGGAAGCCAGGCCTTCCTGCCGCCGCTGGAGGACCTCGATGACGCTGCCGATACCGTCCTCGGGCACCTGAGGGCAGGTGGGCAGGAGGGAAGGGTCAAGGCGGAAGCTGGCCAGGGCCACCCCTGACTTCCTGGCCCAGCTGAGACTACCTCCTGCCGCCCACATTTCTGGGCCTCACTCTCCCCTCTGCCCCAGCCCTTGGTGCTCACCAGGGCGTGGTCGAAGTTGAAGGTGCTGATGTAGTAGGCAGAGATGTCAGCGGCAGCCAGGGGACCTGCAATCTGTGCCACGATGCCACATTCATCTGAGGGTGGTGGAGGAAGGCCACATGTGGCACATGCCGGTTGCTCCCCAGACACTCCCCAGCCCCCCAACACCGGGAACAGCCCTCACCAAAGCCCAGGGGCTGTCCACCGATGCGCACCATCCTCCACAGCTCCCCCGAGGAGCTGGTCAGCAGGAGGTCACTGGGGAACCTGGGGAGGGAGATGGGTGATGGGCAGGGCACCCCCATCCACCCCTGCCTGACCGTGAGCTCTGGGACAGGTACACCTGCTGACCTCAGAGTCTGATGCCCCACCTCCTCCCTGCCTGGGACTGGCTGGGGCCTGGGGCCCACCCGGGGTCAGGGGTCACCTACTTTTTCTGTGTTTCAGCATCCATGACAATGGAGATATAACCCTCGATGAGGGAGAAGGCAAAGAACGTGATGGAGCTGGGTTCAGGACTGCTAGAGGCTGCCTCCTTGGGGGTGCTGGGGAGGGATGGGAGGTTTAGGGGCTCTACCAGGCACCCAGCCTACTGCCCCTGCTCCCGATCAGCCTCCAGAACCCTGGGAAGGAGCTGGTATGGTGGCCTGGGCAGGCTCTGCCATATCTGCTACCCGCCCAAGGGTCCAGCCCTCTGGAAGGTGTGGGTGGGGATGGGGGAGGACAATGAACCCAGCCTGTGCCAAAAACAAAGGATTCCACGGTGAGAGGGCCAGACCAGGGCATGGCTCAGACGACCCCACTGGAAAGGGATCCAGCTTTGGGGCAAGAACCTTCCCCGAACATCAGTGAAGCACAAGTGAGCATCATGGGCTGCCAGGAACCCCAAGAGAGGACAAGCAAGAGGTGCAAAACTGATAGATGGGCGGAAAGTGGTGGGACAGAGTGTAGGGAACAGTGCTGTGAGGACAAAGACGAAGTTCCAAGGTCCACCTGTGCGAGTAGAAGAGGACATCTATGAGGGTGGTGGCGATGGCTGGAAGCGTCTCAGGGTCCAGTGTGAGGACACAGAAGCGGTTCTGTGGGCTCTGGATGGGATGCACCGTGGGGCTGGGCCCTGCTGGAGGACAGCAGCAGGTGAAAAGGTGTCCGTGGGCTGGGGCGCCCCCTGGTGGCTAGTCAGGGAGAGGCGTGGGCCAGGGGCAGGTCTTGCTATCCAGGAACTGGCCGGGGTCCTCCTGCCCCACTGGGGCCCAAAAGGGAAGGGACCCAGTGGGAAGAGGAGGCCCTGCCCAAGTCCAAGTGTCAGGGGGCGGCCCTCACCATGCTGAGTGCGGGGAAAGCCATTGCTGGAATCATCCCTCGTCACAGGCACAGGCTCTCCGCCCACCTCGCGGTAAATGTCGAACTCCTGGGCCAGCGTGTGGATCACCACGGACAGGTCCTGCTCCCGCACCTGGGCCACAGCAGATGGCACATCACATGGGCTCCCAGGTACCTATATCCACCCTGCTCTGCATCAGCACCAGCAGGAAACTCACCAGGATGAAGTCCGTCTGGTAAGTGGACAGCATCAGCACAGACACGTGGTGCTCGGCCAGTGGCGCGATGACCGAACGGGCGATCTTGGTGACCCCAGCAGCCTGCACTGCCGCACCGCTGTGAGACGACACGTTCAGCACCAGCCATGTGGCCTCAGCTACTTGCAGGAACTCAGATGGGGGCAGCTCTGTGGGCAGGGGACATGTCAGGTCAGGGTCTACAAGGCTGGCCCCTGCCCCTCTCTGAGCCTCAGTTTCCCTTTCTGTGCCTTGGAGGGCTCCATCAAGGTAAGGGCAGGTCTGGAGGCTGGGGCTCCTGAAGTCCCTATGTGTGCAAAGACTGAGAAAGGCTTCAAGTGCTGGCCTGGTGGCATTGAAACTTCCCACTTAAGATCAGAGGTCCAGATTCAGACAGACCTGGGTTCAAATCCCAGCTTTGTTAATTTGTCTTATGACCTGGGGTGGGTGATTTGAGTCTCAGTTTCCTCATCTGTAAAATGGGACGACAATATCTACCTCACTACGGTGTCTTCTGTGGGTTAGCAGAAGCTTTGTACCACATGGCACCACCAGGGGGCATTCGCAGATCAGGTTGGCTGGGGGATTGCCTTCCCCTTTTGCAGACCCAGACTTCTGAAGTAAAAACAGGGAAACTAAGGCCTGCAGTGGAGCATGGGGACAGGCTAAGCTCCAGCTAGCTGGCCTGAGACTCCAAGCCTGTGAGGATGGGCAGGGCCAGCAGCAGGAGGAGGAGCTAGGCGTCAGCTCCAGGCCCCAGGGAGGGCCCAGGCTGGCGTCCAGTCCTGAGCTGGGGCCAGGGCCTGGGTGGCTGCTATTCACCCCAGCACAGCCAGGAGGCCTCCAGGACCCTCCCCTGAGATGGCTGCCTGCTCCTGCATTCCTTCCCTCAGACTCCTGGAGTTTCCAGACCAGCAGGGGAGGAGGTGACCCAAACCAGAGAGTAAGACCAGGAGGAAATAATACCCAGGGATTTCTAACAGCAGCACTTGACTGGAATCATAACAGAGGCCCTTCTGCAGGCCTAAGACTGCTGAGTGCCCCTCAGCGGTTTTAAGTTTATAAAGGCCTCATGGGACCCTATGTATCAGAACCATAACTATACCCATTTTACATAAGAGAAAACAGCTCAGAGAGGGAAAGTGATTTGCTCAAGGGCACACAGCCAGGGAGTGGTGGAGTAGGATTCGAACCCCGACCCATCTGCTTTTAAGGCTTAAGCTCTTGGGACGGATCCCAGCAACTGGTGAGAACCCTACAGAAGGGGAGCACGACAAGCCCCTCCCGTACTCCCGTTCCCCAGACCAACCCCCACCTTTAAAGCCCTCCTCGTCCACCATAAGCGTGTAATCCTCAGGGGTCTCCGTCAGGCTGAAGAACTTGCACCTGGTTGGGGGTGGGGAGCATCTTCAGCTTGGTGTGGAGAACTAGGGGTCGGGAGTGGATTTCTCTCCATCTGCCCCGAGACACCCCCGCGACCCTGGGCCGGGCGCCTTCTTGCCCTCTCGGCCTTTAATTTCCAGGCCAATGGGATGTTAGCCCCATCTCGGGGGTTGGGGGCTACTTTCCGGCCTCCCGACCTCTCCAGGAACCCTCCACCCCTCCACTCCTGGAGGGAGGAGAGGTTCACACCCGCGGCGACAGCCCCAGGGGCGTCGGACCTTGGACCCCCTAGTCCAGCCCCTCTGACATGAAGGGAGGCGTCCTGGAAGGAGCTCCCCGCAGTGACCAGGTAGGAATGCCCCCATTTGACACTACTGAGTTAAGCATTGCCCATCCCAGGCTGTTTGCGCTTTGCCCCTGGGAGGGGGCCTCACGGGGCCGGATAGGCGGCGGTCCCCCAGGCCGGATGGCGGCCGGACGGGGAGAGTCCTCCCCACCCGCTCCCGCCCGCCTGCCTGCCTGCCTTACGGCGATCCTAATCCTCCGACCCTGGCCCGGAGCGAGAGCAGAGCCCCCAGCCCCTATCTGCGCTCCCGAACCCGGGCGCGCACCGGCTGCGGCGGGGCAGGAAGAGCAGCTTGATGAGCGGGTGGGTGTAGAGCCAGAGACCGGGACGGGCGACGCTCAGCACCCGCACCCGGTGTTCTAGGATGTGCAGCTCCATCGCGGCTCGCGCGGACCCGACCCCGCCGCCAACTAGACCCAGGCCGCACGGGAGGCGGGGCGGCGGGGGTGGTGCCCGAGCCTTAAAGGAGCCGCTGCGCTGCCGCGTCCACGCCGCCCGCTGCGAGGCTGACCCGCCCAGCCAGGCGCGGCGTCCGGCTCCTTGACGGCCACGCCCCGCGGGAAGAGAAGCCTATTGGGTGGTCACGCCTCCTCCTAACGCCAGAACCTCATCCCGCTTTCCAGCCAGCCCACCGAGACCGCCCCGAACGGCTCCGCCTTTTTTAGTACTGGCTCGGGGATAGACCCCACCCCGTCTGACTCCTCCAGGCCCCGCCCCTGACGCGCCCCCTCCCTGGGCTCCGCCCTTTCCGCGGAAAGCCAGCTGCGCAGCCGGTGGGAGCATCCCGGAGGGGACGTTTCTGTCCTTCTGGCACACACGTGGGTTTCATGATTGAAGTCCTTGAGACAGAAGGGACACGAAACAAACTGGAGCTCGGCTAGGACCAGAACGCTGCCCCCAAATCCCCGGAGCAATGAGAGGCACAGGTCTGCTGTGCAGCGCTGTCCCCCGGGCGCCTTTCGCTCTCCTGCCTCTCATGGCTGCAGGGGGCAGGGCCGCCAACACAGGATTGCGATTGATACCTACCCTTCCCCGCTTGCGAGGGGGCTGACAAATTGAAACCTGGCCTGGTAGCCCCACTTGTTCCTTTCATCCAACTTTCAAAATAGAAGGCTCCTCACCAGGGGCACACAGAGGTAGAATCCTAGCCACCTCTGCCTGAGCGACATACTTTGGGTTAGGGGGCTGCAGGTGGCCAAGGCCTAAGGCTTGAGGTCCCTCGATACCAACAAAACCCGGAAGTGCTTGAGCCAGTAATGCCCAGTGCTCAGACTTTGGTGGGGGAGGCCCTTGCAGCTGAGGTTCAGTGAGTACTCAGACCTCAAGCCTGAAACTTGAGCCCCAAAGCCTGCAGCCCTTAGCTAGCCTGTGCACATCTAAACTTGCTTCAGGTTCAAGGAGGCCCCCGGCACTGGCAGACACCCCAGATCTTATCAGGCCTTCACAGGTCTAAGACCCCCCCAAGGCTAAGCAGGCATCAGCATGTCCATGTTGGCTCCATGCAGGGCTGAGAATGCTCCAGGGGACCCTTGCCTGGCCTGAGCACCCTGAGGCCTCAGATGTGAGGCTTTGAACCAAGTAGACTAAAGCAGGCCTCAGGCCTGATTGGGACCCAGCAGGCCTAAGCAGGCCCTCTGCCTGCTCTGGAGCCCCCACCATAGGCAGATGGAAGCCAAGCTAAGCCTCCTCCCTGGACTCTCGGGCTTGACACATTCCTGTGAAACACTATGTAGCCACCACATCCTGGCCTATCCCCTGGAGGACTAGGGGAAGGAGGAGCTTCTCAAAGGCTGAGCCCATCTCATCAATGGCAGGTGCAGACAGAGTGGGAAACCATGGGGCTGAGGGGAAGGAGGCAGGAAGTGGAGTGGCCTACCCTGATAGTCTCTTGAAACCCTTCACCTCCCTAGGCCTCAGTATCCCCAGCTGTACCAGGACAGGATGTTCCAGGCCCAGGCGAAGGCTGAAAGCTCCCAGGGAGGCTCTGCTCCTCCCTCTCCTGCCCCCTCCCGCTATGGCCTGGCCTGGCCCAGCTTGGTCATCTGCCAGGAATAGCGCTATTGTTTGACTGGAAAAGCTGCTTCCTCAGCAGAAGGGGGGCCTCTCCCAGGGACACCCTGTCCTTGCCCTCACCAGTCATCAGGTTGTGACCGCAGTGCCTGCCTGGGCCCTCAAGGGCAGAGTCAGGTCTCCTGGAGCCCTGGTCAGGAGAGGAAGCTGAGTGAGGGGCTCTTGGTGCAAATCCGGCTGAGGCTTTCCCATTCAGCTCCTGTTTCCTCGTCTGTTAAATGGGGCTAATGGAGCCTACTTGACCAGTCCAGCCTGGCACTTGGCAGTAAATCGAAGGCGGCATTTTATCAAAGAACCACAATTCGCCCCCCTCCCTGAGGGCCTGGGCTGAGCCTGTGAGGACATTCGTGGTGCTCCACTCCGGGCCCCGTCCCTGACCCCAACCCAGAATCAGCTCTCAGAAACTTACTGGAGCCTGAGGTAGCATCCAGGCCAGGACTTGAAGGAGGAAGACCCTGAAACCTCCTCCTTAGGAGTCCCTGCCCCCTTGGTGGGTGGGTGAGGACCAAGGCCTAGGGAGCACGCCCTGCTCTGCCCAGCACTGAGCTCCAGCCCTGGTGTCCCTCATCTGTGGCAGAAGGTAGACATAAGGCAGTGGGGATGGGGTGAGTGAAAATGGGGGTTAAGAATGGGGGCTGACCAGGGACTTGGCATGTCCTCTGGCAAAGGTACCTCTCAGAGAGGCTCTGGTGCTGGGCTGGGGCCCAGGAGAAGGGGCTCTGTAGGGCAAAGAGAAGAGATGCTGAGCACCAAGGTGACCAAGGTGGTACCCCCTTCCCAGCCCCTAGCTGTACACGAGCTCTCTATACAAGGCTGTTTATTTCTGTACAAAACCATGTTTCTATTTTACACAAAGAACACCCCACCCTTTCCCCTCACACCAGCACCCTAACCCTGGGGAGCATCCCCCAGGAGGAGGGGGCTGAAGGAGGCCCCACCCCCCAGGCCCTAGCTTCTGCCTGCCCTGGCTGGGCCAGCCTGAGTGCCACTGTAAAGAAAATAAATAAGGAGGCTCAGGCAGAATCTGTGTTGGACCAGGCAGAATCTGTGTTGGACCAGCCAGACTCCAGCCCAGCCCAGTGGCCAGGCAGCTTGGCCCTCAGAGGGTGGGCAGGATGTGGAATGTCAGTTCATGAACCGTGTAGTTATATGGAGACCCCGCCCTGGAGGCCTTAGCTGCCAGGGTTACAAGTAGGTGTCCTCACTCTCTTGGGACGTCAAGCTCTCCTGGGAGCGGTGGTGGGCTGAGACCTGGGGAGCCAAATCCTGAGGGGCTGAGTCCTTGGGGGCTGAGTCCTTCGGGGGCACATGCTGTGGGGGACATGCATCTCCTGCAGCGGCCACCACCATGGCTTGATTTGGGGCTGGGGGCTTCTCCAGCTGCCCTCTCCCCTTCATCTGTTTCCGCTGCTCCTTCTGGGCCTGCTTGGGTGGCTTGGGCTTGGCTTTGGAGCCAGGGAGGGGGGCATCTAGGGGCAGGCGGATGGATGGTGAAGGTTGTAGGGCAGGCCGGGGACCAGGTTCTGCATCCAAGATAGCCTTGGCACCATGCAGCCTGGGCGGGGAGCGGCACTGCAGCTCACCCCGGGTCTCCTGCCAGCGCCGCAGCTGAATGAGGTGTTCGCGCTCAATCTGGCGCTCTGTCACGGGCAACTCCACCACCTGCAGGGGCAGTGACACAGGCAAGTGGACACCAAGAAGAAGGACCTTCCCCTTCTGCCTCCCAGCCTGGGCCCCCAGTCTTCCTCAGCATCCCCCAGCCTTGGCCACTAAACACTGACCCCAGGAAGGATGAGGGTCTAGTCCCAAGCTGCAGTCACGAGCCCCACAGCTGAGTGCCAGGTGAGCTGGACACTTGAGACCCACCGCCTCAGAGGATAAAGCTGCCCACAGCTTCACGAGTCCACCTGCCTGACTATGGGGCTAAAGGGGTAAGACCCAGACAGACAAAAACCTGCTCTCTGCCAACCTGTCACCCACCGCTGCCCAGGGCAGCCTGGCTGCTTAGGCTCAAATTCCAGCTCCACCTGGGTGGGTGACTTTAAGGGGAGTTGCTTAGTGATTCTGCCTCTGTGAGCCTCCATTTCCTCATGTGTAAAAGCTGGTCACGCATGTTCCACCTAATTGCCCCTGAGAGACAAGTATCCATAAAGAAAGAACAAAGAGAAATAAGAGCCAAGGCTGCGAATGGGGTACCAGGGAGGAAGACGGGGCCGTGGGTCAACATTCTTCTTCATTCCCAAGCGGCTCGGATCCAGAAGGCCCTGCAGAGCCAAGCCTCTCTGTGCCCCATGCTCTTCACCAGACAGAAGGATGAGGTCCACCCACATGTTCTGTGTTGCCTAGCAATGGTCCTGGCATAGGATCCACCCTCAGGGGCTGAGGGTTAGCGGGACCCCCTTCAAAGGACCCCCACCTGTCTTCCTCCCTCCCCATGATAAGGGGCAGGCATGGGCTGTACCTCCTGGACCAGAAAGGCCTCCTGCATGATCTTGGGGCTGAGGCTCCGCAGTCGCTCGATGGTCTCGTACTGGCCCTGGCAGGCTTTGACCTTCTCAGGGGAGCCCAGCGCGTGCTTCAGCAGCACCAGCCCCACCCGGAAGATGATCTTGACCCCTGCATGGGGGATGGGCAGTAAGTACAAGGAAGCTTTTTGGGGTTTCTCTGCAAAGAGAGGCCCCACTGTGGGCTGCTGGGGACAGGGGTGCTCCCCCCAAGCCCAGCCCAGTACCTTCACAGAAGAACATGTCCCAGACACGCAGCACAGAGCTCCAGGGCAAGGTTCGGGAGAAGGCGCACATGAACCATTCTGTCATATAGAGGAGCGGGTCGATCTTCTGACGGCTGAGGTGCTTGTGGGCCACCGGCGACACCTTCTGCAACAGCGAGAAAAGGATCTCCCCGTCCAGCTGGATCGCCTCCTAGGGAGACATCGAGGCCACGGGACCATGACCGTGGGCTGCAGGAGCCAGGGCAGAGACTACACCCCAGCACCCAGCACCCAGCACCCAGCAGGCTCAGGCAGCTACCGCCTGCAGGGTGTCTGCCTCTGCCAGGTGCTAGGATACAATGATGAGCAAAGCGGAGCCAGCTGGTCCCCTGGAGGGAGCTTATCCTGAGAAGGGCACATGAGCAAAAGAGGCTAGGGGAGGGGGAGGAGGCTGAATGCCCCTAACAAGGCTGGAGCAGGACTGCTCTCAAGCATGTGCTGGAGGGTCTCGCCTGTCAGGGTCAAGGAAGCTCCCTGAGGGCTAAAAGCTGAAGGACAAGAGAAGTTTTTAGGGGACAGCACGGGGAAGGGAGCTTCCAAGCAGATTTTAGCCTAGGACAAGGCCAAGGCGAAGGGAGGGAAGAACTTGGTGCCCTGGAAGAACTTCAATTCTGCAAAGTGACCAGAGCAGCTAGAGGCTGAGATGAAAGTCAGTGTAGAAGGGATAACATTGTAACCCAGGAGACCTAACCCTGGCAGGCCTTGGGACTTCAGCCTCAAGGCAACAGAAGGCCGGAAAGTTTTTAACCTGGGCAGGAGTTACTATGAGAGAAGGGCCTGGAGGGGCCACAGAGGGTGTCCAGCCCAGGGCAAGTCCCAGGCCAGGCGACACTCACCAGTTTCTCGCTGTAGTAGCCGGGCAGGTACTTCTCACAGATCTGTACCAGGCACCAGAAGGCTTGCTGTGGGCAAGAGAGATGTGAGGCCTTGCCGTTGGGGGTTCCCCACCCACCCCCCTGCCTGCCCGGGGCCTGGTGGTACCTCAGCAGGCATATGCATGAGCAAGACAGCGGCAATGGGCGCCTGGGCCTGGCAGTAGCCCTCCTCGGGCCGGTACAGCGTGTAGGCCTTCAGCACACGGAATAGGTCCTGCTGGCTGTGGAGAGGCCGGGCAGAGCAGTGATGACCGGGGTGACTCTGCTACCCACGGCCTTCACCTATGCCCCAGTGGACCAGCCAGCCTCAGAATCTGCCCCTCCCTTGAGAGGGAAGGTGATCTGCTTGTGGTCACCAAGGGGTCAGTCTCCTACTGGAGCACATGGACTCTCACGTGCCCAGAAGGAAGGAGGTGGGGAAGGTCTCCCCCATGACAGGGGAGGGCAGAGGCTCAAAGAGAAAACAGGGAGCAGGGCCAGGGCGGGATGTAAAGCTATGTCAGGGCTGGAAGTAGGGGCCCCTCACTCAGCAGCTATGGCCCCTTGGCCGGGCCAGCTTTGTCCCTGCATCTGTCTTGGTCCCCTTGCCTGCCCTATCTCTCCCCTGCATACCCTCCACTCACCCAATTCCCTCTATCCCTCTTTCTCGCCAACAAAACCTGTTTCCGGAAGAGGGCCAGGCTGGACAAGCTCTAGCACTCTGGAGTCAATGAGGAAAGCCCCCCCAGAGGTAAGAGGAGATGCTGAGAACACACATCAGACTCAAACCAAAAAAAGGGAAATGCTAAGAGTGGAGTTGGGGGCACCGAGCTTCTAAAGCCCTGAACTCACTGTACCTCCTTAGACCCCTTAGAGACAGGCCCTAGAGCCACCTCCCACCTCATGAGGCCCAGCCTGCTCACCCGTGGCCCCCCCGGGACACAAACATCTCATGGAATGGGAACTGCCGGTGCAGGTCACGCTCAATCACGTCCAGCCACTTGGGGTCCCCAGGGGACATGTCCAGCTCCTAGAAGCAAGGGCACAAATTAGGGGCTGGGGAGGATGGAGGTGGGCTTTGCTGACAGGACACGGCTGCCCAGGGATTAGGGGAGGGGGCCCTCCACCAGGGGCAGTGCCCACCCAAGCCCATCACAGACTGGGCCTTCCCAAGGACAGGAAGAGAAGCTCAGGTAAGGAATGCCTGGGCAGGGGCAAAGGGGCAAGGAGGGAAGGGCCCTGGAAACCTTAAACCTGGCTCTAGGAAGACCGATGAGGGCAAGAGTGTCCACTCCAGCTGCGGCTGGAAGGACCTCTAGACATTTCATTCGGGAGTCAGATACATTATGTCACATCCTTAAGACAGAAGGCTGCTTCTCTGAGCAATAGCTACCAGCTGTTCCCACTTCTCTGAGCCAGGCGCTAAGCTGGGCACAGGGTACCTGTGGGCCTTACTGATCCTGCTCCCCAACCTCCAGAGATAGGACCTATCATTACACCCTGTTCGCAGATGAGAAAACTGAATGTCAAGGCCTCATGTCAAGGTATTTAACTCTGGCTAGAAAAATGGTGGAGCTGGGACTGGAAGCCAGGTCTGACTCAAAGCCGTCCATCCCAGCTCCTCAGCTACATGCCTCCCTGTGCAGGTGGCGTCAACTATCCAGGAAGCCAGGTGTGTGTGAGATCTGCACAGAGCTCTTTCTGGAAGGACATGACATCTGTCAAACCATTAACCTCAGATACTTCTCTGGGTGCCGAGGTTTCAACAAAGTTTTACTCTTTTCTTTGAACTTCTGTGAACGCTTCAGTATGTGCACCTTTACAAAACAACAAAGCCATTACAAAAAGGAAAATCTTTTCTTGGTCATTTGAAATGTTCTCTACCTTGATCTGCATGTTGGTTACATGGATGTGTATTATTTATCAAAACTCACTGAACTGCATGCACATTCAAGATCTATGCATTTTACTGTATGTAAATTCATACCTCAATTTTTAAAAAAGAAAGAAAAAATAAATAAGGAGGAAGCCCAGAGGGCTGAGCAGGGAAGCAGAGTATTCACCAGAGGAACCAGAATGTGCTGAAAGGTGTGGCCCAGGCACCTTCATGGGAGTGTTGGTTTAAGTACAAGTTGCCTGCAGGGCAGGGGCAGCATCAGGGAAGGCCCTCAGGAGGGAGGCCAGGTCCTCAGCAAACATACCCAGTGGGCGCAGACACAGGCCCTGCCCTGACGAGCAGGTGACTTCATACAAGCCCCTTTCCCTCTCTGGCCCTCAGTGGGAGTGTCCTAGCATTAAGCTCAAGAACCTAGGGTGCCAGGAACTTGACTAGAGGGTAAGGACTGAGAGGAGCGGCTGACAGAGTGTTCAGGGCTGGAGGGGACAGGGAGGGGCTGGGGCCTCCACACAGAGCCCTAGAGCAGGCACATAGCGGAGCGGTGGATGCGTGCCTCTGGGGCCCCACACACCCTTGTGATGGGGGTCTGTGTACTGTGCACCTCTAAGTACTGTCTGAGCGCAGTGCAGGTTTGCTTTTGTCAGAATGGGGAAGAGGGCCCCACAAATTCTCCTAGCAGTTCCCATGAGGTAGGAACCCGAAAACCCCGGAAGTCAGTTCCTAGGATGTGTTCATCTGGCACTTCAGCAGCCTAAGGCACTTGGCCACACATGGTTGGTGAGAAAGGAAAAGAGGGTAGCTGCAGATCGAAAGGGCACCGGCAGACAAGCAGGTACCATGGTCATGGGGCCTGTAGCCTCCACCAGCCTGAGGGGTACTGGCGCCATCATAAGGTGAAGCCAGAGAAGAAAGCCAGGTAAAAAAGGACAGGAGGTCCTGCCTGCCCAAGGAAGGAGGAAGAAATAGCACGTGCAGGAGAAGGAGCCACCAGCACCTGCAGAGCCTGCCCTGAATGCTGAGGTTGGGATGGGCCACCTGGACTGGGTATTGAATGGAGGGCCCTGTGGGGAGAGAGCACAGAAACAGGTGCATGCTGCCATCACCAGACCCCCACTGTGCCCTGCCTCGGCACAGGACCCGCAGCAACCAGGGGAAGCTCCTCATGCTTCCTCTGGGTCACCCACAGGCAAAGTCTTTCCAGGTGTGCTCACAAACCATTCTTCCAGCCCCCAGAACCATGCAGGAACCCGTCACTCAGCTTCGGTGCATCAAGAAGGCCTTCTCTGCAAATCCACCTCCTCACACAAGCAACTTTCCAGACCCCCTGGGGGGTGGCTGATTCTTCTCTGGAAGCACAGCTCTACACACACATGCACACAGCTCTGTGTTCTGCTGCACACACACTCATGCTTGCTGAACCACACAGCCAAGAGGCTGACCAGGCTGCCCACGCTCTTGGCTCTCATGCCTGGCTCTGGCAGCCTGATTTTAACTATGGACTTGGACTGAGGTTCCCACCCCTGAGCCTCCCACTTTGCCCAGGATGCGGCCCCTCGAAATGGAAGAGATGTAGCCACTAGGAGGAAGACTCTGGAGTCAAGAGGCTGCTCCAGTGTGGCCTGGTATTGGTGCTCTGGGGAATAATCCAATCAGCCAGATTCAGACCTACCCCAGCCAGACACTCTACCAGCTTCCCTGCCCCTGCAAGTCCACGTGTTGCCAGCAAAAAGCTCTCGCCCTCTCCAGGTCAACAGCAGAAACTCTAGGCTACCTTGCCCTGCTCCTGCCCAGTCATCTCAAGGAACAGGTTTGGCAAGACTGGAGTGTTCAATGAAGAAGCATGAGATATGTCAACAAAGAGCTGGTGGTAGGCAGCTCTGCTCTGTCTCACTGTCTGCCTGTCACCAGTCCCAAGGGCCTGCGAGAAACCCCGATGCCTGCGGCCAGATCTGGCAGGTAAGCCGGGGCAACCCCAGGGAATCCAACTGCTTCCCCATAGTTCCCTGGGGGAGCAGGCTGGAGGAGCTGCCCAGCTCTGAATGGAGAGGTATTTTACTCTGGCCAGCCATGGGGCAGGGAGCAGCAGGAGGGATATCGGGACAGGAGGAGGGATAACAACAGAGGGCACCCTCTCTGGCCACTGACTGGCGTCTGACCCCTTGAGCTACTTGGGCAGTTCCCTTCAGCCCCCTTGGGTTTGGCTCTGCTACTCCTAGGGCTGATGACCCCACAAGACACACAGGTGGGCTGTGCTGGCCAGGCTTGGACAAGGCAGGAGAAAGTAGAGGATGGGAGGCCGGGAGACACTGAAGGACCTGTGGTCCTGCTAGTCAAGCCCCCATAGGCCCAGGGCACAGGGCCCAAGGCAGTCAGGGAAATGGTCTGAGTGTCCCCTCCTGATGACCAAGAGCAGGGAGGTAGCCTACTGAGCCCAGGAAAGCAAAACCTGAGTGGTCATCAAGAGAAAGAGCTGGAATAGGGGGTACCAAATCTGGCCATTCCACTGAGGGCTGCTCAGGGCTGGAGCCTCAGTTGTACAGACCCTCCAGGAGACACAGGTACCCAGGACTGGGCCGGTCTGGCCTGCTGGGGCCTGGGCAGTTGGGCACATGACTGGAGGTTTCATGGACTGCTCATCCTGTGAGGTTCAGGTGAGCACATGGAGGATTGCCGCCATGGGGAGGACGCCAAGAGATGCGGAAGGGAGGGCAGGGCAAAGGAAGGGAAACTTACGTCAAACTTTCCAGGGTTCTGCTGTAACTTCACCTTGCCTCCTGACAGGTACTGCCAAGCACGGCCCCGCAGAGAAGGCGGGATGCCCTTTTGGCACCGCAGACGAATCTGAAAATCAAAAGGACAGCTGAGCCCATGCAGCCACCCAGGCAGCTCCCCTAGCCCAGCCCCTCTGCCAATGCGTGGTGGGCCCTCAGTGCACACAGCAGCAAGAGCAGAAACAGGGAGAAAAGAGGACTTTCGCCGGGCAAGGTGGCTCACGCCTGTAATCCCAGCACTTTGGGAGGCCGAGGCGGGTGGATCACCTGAGTTCAGGAGTTTGAGACCAGCCTGGCCAACATGGTGAAACCCCGTGTCTACTAAAAATACAAAAATTAGCTGGGTGTGGTGGCGGGCGCCTGTAATCCTAGCGACTCGGGAGGCTAAGGCAGGAGAATCATTTGAACCCGGGAAGCAGAGTTGCAGTGAGCCAAGATCGTGCCATTGCCCTCCAGCCGGGTGACAAGAGCAAAACTCTGTCTCAAAAAAAAAAAAAGGACTTTTCCTACTGTTGCTACCATGCCAATCCTATGGTGCGGGGAGAGGAGGTGCCTGCAATTAGATATGCTAACACCAGGTGATGGCAGGGTCCCACATCCCTGGTGACAACACAGGCATTCCTGAGGTTTGCCATGGAATTCCAGACCCTCATAACTATCTTCTGAATCAAAATGGAACCCTATAGGCGGGCACGCTGGCTCACACCTGTAATCCCAGCACTCTGGGGAGCCGAGAAGGGCAGATCACTTAAGGTCAGGAGTTCGAGACCAGCCTGGCCAACATGGTGAAACCCCGTCTCTACTAAAAATACAAAAAATTAGCCAGGCATGGTGGTGGGCGCCTGTAATCCTAGCTACTTGGGAGGCTGAGGCACGAGAATCGCTTGAACCCAGGAGGTGGAGGTTGCAGTAAGCTAAGATCGTGCCACTGCACTCCAGCCGGGGCGACAGACCGAGACTCTGTTTCAGGAAAAAAAAAAAAAAAAAGGAAAAGGAACCATTACAAGTTGGGTGAACCCCATAGTCTGTCACCAGGGAGGGCATTGCACTGTGTGCGGCTCAGCTGCAGCCACAGGGAAGGTAGCTCATGAGATGAACCAGAATGTGCCCAGAGGTGTGGCCTGGGCACTTTCACGCAGGTATGTTGGTTTCAGCAGCCATGTGGCAGGATACCGCCAGCCTAGAGGGGAGAAATCTCAGCAGAACTCTGAAGGAAGATGGGAGCTGCTCAAATGGCTCCCTCTTTGTTTTGGTCAAGAATCCCCACTCTCCTCTCGTTGACCCTGAGCTCCCAACATCACCAGCCTGGGGCATAGGCAGCTGGCCTGAGTGTGAGTCCTGATCTCAGCCCTTGCTAAAATGGCCCAGGTCTTCTCTGCCACTCGTAGAATGGGAGAAGTGAGGGAGGAAGTATTTGAGGCAGCTCATGACCCAGAGCTAGTGCTCAATTCCGGCTAGCTGTTTTTATCAGGAAAAGTTTTCACTGGCAAAACTCAATTTGAAAAACTATCAAAACGATCATGTCTTTTACAAATGGGGCATTGAGGGTAGGGGAAAATTCGTGGGGGAAATTTCATCACACAAGCAGAGTGGGGGTAAATTTGTCATACAATCAGAAACCCTACTACCTCCTAGCTGCACCGCACAGGCTGGAGGGACCCAGCCCCGTGTACTTTCTACATCACCAGTGGGCTCCTCCTGGGCTTGGGACCAGAATGAGGCTCTGAAGGCAGTTGCCCTGACCCGTCAAGGTGGGCAAGGACAAAGGCAGAGGCATCACTCCTGTGAAATGCTGTGGTGGGGGAGGGGTGAGATGGCCAATGATACTCCCTCAACCCCTGCACTAAGCAGCCTGACCTGGGATAAAGGGGATGGGCGCTCGGGGCATGAGAAGAACATCTGGATGTGGGTTTGAATCTAGCGCTGACCTTAAGCCAACCACTTCTCAACTGTAAGATCTGAATAATACCTACTACTGTGCAGAGTTGTCAAAGGAGTCCATTAGAGAGGGAAAATGTGCTTAGTGTGGGGCCTGACACAGTCTGTGTTCAGTAAGCAATGGCTTCCTCTCTGCCCCTCCATCCCAGGAGGATGCTTGACACAGAAGCCCAGGACCTCAGCTCACACCTAACTTCCCCTCACCTAGAAACCCCCTTCAACAGTCCTGCTGGAAGCTCTCAGAGGAGGGAGTACAGAAGCCCTGGCCTTCCTGGGGACCAGTGCAAACAAGAGAAAACTTTCCAAGGGTCAGAGAGAGTCAAGAACCAGGAAGGAGCCAGGCAAACAGGCTGAGGGTGGTGGGGGAAGAGTAGCAGTGGCTGGTCACAGGTGCCAAGTGAGAGCTTCTGGGACTGCCTAGAAAGGAGGCAGAGGAAGGGGGCTGAAGGGAACTGCACTAGACGCAAGGAAGAGTTTCCTGCGGCTATGGGACAAGGGTCTCCTTAAGGAAGCCAACTTGGGCAGGCTTTGGCAAAGGGATGTGCTTTAGCCCAAAGCCACAGGCCCTTCAGGCTCTCCCACAGAGCTAAGCTCAGCAAGAGGCAGCCCCACATCATCACAGCCCCCATCATATTTGGCCTTCTCCAGGAGAGCCCTGGAACACTTCGCGGGCAGCAAAGAGCTGGGAGTACAGCCAGCCTTTCCCACTCTGGCCTCCTCAGCATAAAGGTGCTGGAGGGGGTCATCTCTACCCTGCCTGCCTTAGGGAGGATGGTAGGGACCAGTAAGGATAAAGCATGGGAAAGTATTCCCAGAAACCACAGAGGATTACCATTCTCTGAGGCCAGGCCTTGGGAAAGGAGGTCTCTGATGAAAGCTGAGTGAGGACACACCCTTGCCTGCTGAACTCTGTGAGGGCAGGGCCCTGCGGGAAGACAGCATTCCAGCCCCAGCCCTGCCTCCCTGCAGGACCAGAATTCTGTCCTAGACATGGCTGGGAGTCTCCGGAAAGGAAGGCACCCTCCCAGCAGGACTATGTATGAGTCCAGGAGAAGTGTTGGGTCTGAGCCCACTTCCTGAAACAGGTATTATACTTCCTGTGCCACGACTTCCTGACCAGAGGGAGAACTCAAGCCTCCACAGGCAGGAAGAGCCCCGAGGGCAGGGCCCAGTATGGCCACAGCTGAGATGGCACGAGGGGCACCCAGTGGATGGTTCTGGGCTGGAGAGAAGCAGTGAGTTAGGGCCTCTGGGCACGGTGGATTGAAGCACTTCCTCTGGAGGCCTCAGCTGGGCAGGGGCAGGTCTTGGGCTCTAACCACAGTGCCAGGAAAGAAAAGGGGAAGTGTCAGCTGCTACTCTGCTGAGAGGTGCTCCCCGAAGCTCCCCTCTGGAATCCCGATTTTCAAGAACACGGAAGGTCCCTGCCAACCACCAGTCACCATAACAGATTGCTGGAGAGCAAGCTACAGCTCACAGTAAGAGCCAGAGGAATGATGAGGCAGGGAAACAGAGCCAGAGTCAGGCAGGAAGCAGGTGAGGAATAACTGTCTTAACATTGTTTTTTAAAAAAGAGATAGGCTGGGTGCAGTGGCTCATGCCAGTAATTCCAGCACTTTGGGAGGCCAACGCACATGGATTGCTTGAGCTCAGGAGTTCCAGACCGGCCTGGGCAACATGGTGAAACCCCATCTCTACAAAAAATACAAAAATTCGCCACGTGTGGTGACGTGCCTGTGGTCCCAGCTACTTGGGAGGCTGAGGTGGGAGAATCACTTAACTCCAGGAGTTCGAGGCTGCAGTGAGCCAAGATCATACTGCTGCACTACAGCCTGGGTGACAGAGTGAGACCCTGTCTCAAATAAATAGTTAGATAGATAGATAGATAGACAGACAGACAGACAGACAGACAGACAGACAGATAGATAGACAGATAGCTATAGAGAATAACAAGCAAGAGCCCAGGTCTGGGTGAGCCTCTCCTCTCATAGCACAGGGCTTCACCATCTACGATACAGTCTACGAAGCACTTACCACCACTTCGTGGGGAGCAACAGGATTATCACTCCCATTTGGCCAGAGAAGCTGAGGCTGAGAGGGTGAAGTGACTTGCCCAGAAGTTCCACAGTTAGCCACAGGTGTGAAGAGAGGAAAGGAGTGGGGCTGGGCCCAAGTCTATATGCCTGACTGTCAGTCCTGAGCTTTCTGTGAGGCCCGGCAGCCAGCTGTGCCAGCCTGGATCAGACCAGAGTGTCAGCTGATGAGAGTGGGCAATAGGGTTCATTCTGTGCATTAGGAACTTGTACAGAGAGACCCTAGCTGTAAGGCTCGGAACAGGCCTCCTCTAGGCCAGGTGGTAACACCATGCTGAGGGCAGCCAAGGATATCAACACACACACACACTTAAGAGTGGTGGGCAAGAATGTTCCCACAGGGCAATAGAGCTAGTGTCTAAAGACAGCCTCACTTGAAAAGGACTACTGGGTGATTTCATTTTCGTAAGACTATCATTAAAGTGTGAAGTTACTTTCTTCTTTCTTTGGCCAGGAGTCAAGAGGGAAGTCATCAAGTTAATCTAGAGGGTAAAGAAGGCCTCGTACTGTGGTGGCTAAGAGGGCAGGTGCTAAAGGTACACTGCTTGGGTTCAAATCTTGACCAGGTCATCTGTAAAGTGGGGATACTACTATTACTAACCTCACACTAGGGTGCTGTAAGGAATTATCCCAGGCAAGTGCCAAGCACAAAGCAAATGTTCCATACACGCTAGTTACTGGCAGTATTGTAAAGTCCTCCTTGATAGTTGGTAAGCAGCACTTAAGTCCTTCCCCTGGGAAGGCTAGAAGAAAGCTGTGTTATGGCTGTTGGCTAAGAGTGGCTTTGAGGTTTAGCTCCAGGACAATGTTCTGCATGAATCTGAAGTCATTGTGTTAGGGCCCAACCTTCCCCCTGCCTTCAAGCCAGCTTCTGTCCTGCACTGGCAGTTGGAGGACACCTAAGGCATCTGGCAGTTATAGAAGCCTCTGCTTTCCTAAGCTGATGAAGTTCCTCCCTCTTCCTCCTCCTCCCCAAGCTGCCAACTCCCAGCCCAATACCTGAGGCCAGGCCCCTCACCTTTTTGTGCTTCTTGGCCATCCATTTGTCCCAGTTGTTGAGCATGTCCAGCCACTTGGACTCCCTCTGCCTCAGCACCTCCAGGGGTACTTCCTCCAGCCTGTGGAGCAGAGGGCAGGGCCTGTGAGAGGTGCCAAGGGAAGCAAAGGCCCTGGCTTCATTCCCAGCCGCCAGCCTGGTCAGACCTCCATTCTTCCTGCCTACCATCCCTGCTGTTCCCTTCAGGACTGCTACCTCGGACCATCCTATTGCAGATGAGAGGGAACACGCCACCTCCCCATCCACCGCCTCAAGGCATAAGCTAGAGAGACAGCAGGTGGTTCAAGTGCCTACTTCCCTAATGTGGCCAGGACCCATGGTACCTCTCTGAGGCAGAGGCTGAGTGAGTGTCTGCATCTGTGCAGCAAAGCAAAGCATTCCTGTCCTGGGTCTGCCTTAGTCAATAAGCCTCTTCAGAGGGCCGGTGTACAAGGTGCAGAGTTGAACACAAAAACTAGTCAAACGAGTACAGAAATAATATGCTCACCTCTTTACTTGAGCCAAACTCATTACTCAGAGTTTCCCCAATTATGCCCTGGCCCTTTCCCTCTCAGCCTTTATTCATGCCAGTAACTTTGCTGGAATGCTTCCCAAATCGTCTCCACCCATCAAAATCCTACACACACTTCAAAGCCCCATCAAATACCACTTCTTCTATCTGTAGATCTACTGACTGGGCAGCTAGCACAACTGTGTTGCAGTGTTCTAGGGCGAGGGCCTCTGGATGGGTTATGGGGATGCCGTCCCATGATTAAAACAAAGTCTTGACCCTCATGGAGTTGATATTCTGGTGGGCACTGAATGTGGGGAAAACACCTCAGCACCAAGGTGCTTTTTTCTGCTTTCTTAACAGAATAAGGTATTAATGACAGACAAGGAAACAGGCTTAGAGAGGTAAGATACTCAGGAAAGGTATCTTGCTTAGCGTTCAATCAGTGGAAAAACCCAGACTCAAATACAAGTCAGGTCCCAGCCAAGAGCCAGCACACAGTGCTGCCTGACCTCTCAGAAAGGAGCACAGAGTCGGAGGCAGCTCAGAGGAGGTTCTCAGGAACAGGACACAGTGGGGCTGGGGCTTGGCCCAGGCCTGAGTCTCTGATCCTCTCTCTGCCGGAAGGAAATGTGCTACTGTGACTTTTACTGGTTGGAAGAGCAGAGGGAGGGGCCCTGGCAGAGCTGAGGCCTCTAAGACACAAAAGGGAAGGTCTTCTTCAGTGCATTTTATCTGGGGAAGTGCCCAGGCCTGAGAGTAGCCTTGGAACTGAACGTCTGAGGAAGGACTACAGCCCAGGCAAAGGAGGCCCCCTCAACGCACTGATACAAGGCACCCCACCTTGAACTGCTGCCCCTCTCACCACCTAAAGGCAGAACTAGGGCATGAGTTACTCCTTTCTTTGCCTTTCCTGATAAAAGCAAAGCAAGGACCACGCCTTTACAAAAGGTCAGGTAATTTACAAAGGGATATGTATCTCCGGGCAACCCCCAAACATCCCAGGAGCAGAAACTAAGGGCCCACACCTCCCAGGCCATGATACCTTCCACCACCTATAATGCACTGCTTATGCAACAAGTCAGAGGAACAGCCTTCTAGTTAACCAGTCAGAAGGGTGCCCAAACTGAGTCAACAGGAAGTTCTGGCAGTTATGGATGTAGATAATGGCTAATCCAATATCCCCACTGCACAGATGAAGAAACTGAGGCTTACAGAGGGCAAGGTTTTCACTTGAGATTACCAGTTTCCAAAGAACTCACAGGTGATTAAATATGTCTATCTGATACCTCAACCCTCAGTCTGGCTTTATTGATAAAATCTAACTGCAGGGACTCAAAGATGCCCATTCTCCCAACTGCAGATACACAGAGGAACATGTTAAATTCAGAGTTCTTTTAACTGATGCCAGATAACAGCTTTGGCAGTTTCAAACCCCCAATGTCAAACCTCAAACCGGAACTTCAGAAGAGTACAAAACAAACTACCATATTTCCTGGATTCTAAGACACCACTGATTTTAAGCTACACCATTGATTTGGCAAGATCTTCTCAGAAACAAACAAAAAACCCACTACTACTTTAACTGTGCATGTCAATTGAAAGATCTGTTTTGATTTTTTAAATCCTAAATTAGGAAAATTTTAAGGCAATATGGCCATCTGAATGGCTTTTCCTTTAACAGCAGAGGAGTTTAATCTACCTGGAGATGGTGAGAAGGAAGACACTGGAGGTCTGGCTGTACCCAGCACTCAGCGTACCACATGCTCTCTAACTGCAGGTAGATGTCTCTAGGCACAGGATATACTCCTGAAACATTGCAGGCTATCTATTTTTTTTGTTGTTAAATCAGAAGAGTCACATATCCTTCAATTAACTCAGTCAGGATCTTAGAAAACATCTGATCCAACTGCTGTCTGATATAGAAATCCTTTCTACATTAGGCAAGTCCCCTTTCTTCTCTGATCCTCAGTTTCGCTATATGCTTGTACAGTCTATCTTATGAATTTGACCCTCTAAGGAGGCCCACAGAGGAGCTGTGGGATGAAGCTGGGGCCAGAGGGGTCCCTGAAAATAGTATGACAGTGTAGAAGCCCTGAGGAGGCTTCCTCCTGACAGTGGAGAGGGCAGGAACCAATTGCTAGTGAGAGAGAAGCTGGCCCAGTATAAGGGACCACAAATGGCCCATGGGGGATGTCGCAAATCTGGCGGCCTCACTCATCCTCCAGAAAACCCCTCCTTCCTTAAGGTAGACTGAGGGAGTCTCTGAAGCCAAAAGAGACAAGTGAGACCAGTTTCTTTTGGCTCAGCCACTGCTGGAACTCCTCCAGGGATGGGCCTTCCTTACCTCCAGGTGAAGTCACTCTATTGTTAAACAGTTTCCACTGCTAAAGCTTTCTTCCCCACCTTATGCCAAAATTGTCCTAGTAACTTCCACCGTAATCTCAACACCGCTTTTGAGGCCATACAATTCTCCCATACCAGGCACACACATGTTTATCCCTCACCATCCACTCATCCCTAACTGAATGCCCTTTCTTCTCCCTTCTCCAAGTGACAGTAACCCTTCAGAGCCCAATATTACATTAAAAACCATCACTACAACAATAATAATATCAGCAACAGTAGTTACCATTCGTAGATTATTTACTACTTACAATTTTCTTCTCAATGCTTCACATACCTTTATCACATGTACCTTTTGTAATAACCCTACTATAACATCATTCTCCCCTTTTTATTTTATTTTTTTGAGACGGAGTTTTGCGCTTGTTGCCCAGGCTGGAGTGCAATGGCGCGATCTCGGCTCACTGCAACGTCCGCCTTCCGGGTTTAAGTGATTCTCGTGCCTCAGCCTCCCGAGTAGCTGGGATTACAGGCGCCCACCACCACACCCAGCTAATTTTTTGCATTTTTAGTAGAGACAGGGTTTCACTATGTTGGCCAGGCTGGTCTTGAACTCCTGACCTCAGGCGATCCACCCGCCTCGGCCTCCTGAAGTGTTGGGATTACAGGCGTGAGCCACAGCGCCCGGCCCATTCTCCCCATTTTAAAGTAGAATCCAAGGCTTAGTAATGTTAAGAGTGTTTTAAGACCATGTAGCTATAAGTGGCAGAGCTGGGACTCAAACCCAGGCCTGACTGACTCTACAGCTCATGCTCTTGACCCTTGTACTACACTTCTCTGCCTCCACAGGCCAAGCCCTCAGCCTCCACACAGCCTGCATGCCTGCATGCCTGCATGCCTGCCTGCCTGCATGCCTGCATGCCTGCATGCCTGCCTGCCTGCCTGCCTAGATCTCGTAAAATGTCCTCCAACCTGAAGATCTTCATCCTGGCTCAGAACACCATGTCTCATGCTTTTTAAACTGAGACCCACACAAACACAACACACATACACACACACAACCAGAATACATTTTAGGAAACGAGTTGCCCTTACATGTACTAATGCACTCTGATATTTCCAGATTGATTTTCTATTTTTCTATTCTATTGTTTTAAATGCTGGTCACAAGCCCCTAAAACTGATTTCAGCACCAACTGACAAATGAGTCAAGTCATTAAGTGTGAAATATGCACTTCATTACCACTTGCTCATATTACTCAGCACTGTCCCTCCCCAGCTGGACCGGGTCTTGAACTTCTTCTGTGACTCCTACCACACGCCCCAGGTGTTCAACAGCTGCCTGCCTGGCTTTCTCCATGACATCATTACCTTCATCTGCACTGCATCAGGGCTACAAGCTACTTCTGCCTTAGAAATTGTACGTGTCCCTCTAATAGCCCAGTGAAGTGGGGCCCTCACAGATTAATTACTATTTCCATTTGGACCATGACAGACTTGGCCTGATCAGAAAGGTTGTATGACTTGGACAAAGTCACAAAGCTAATAAGTAAGTAGCTGACCCAGGGCTTCCCCTCTGTCACAGTGACCTATATGCTATTTCCAGTTCCCTGGGGAAGGCTGTGGGGAAATCAGGCCCTTCTCCAGATGCTTCTGTGTGGCTCCATCTCTGGCGCCCAAGCCACTGGAGACAGTCTAACCCCCTCCTCCAGTGTTGTGACTGCCCCAGTGAGTGGCCTGCCCGTACCTAGCAATGCTCAGAGACACCAATACACTGGATGGGATGGTTTGCCAGCACAACCTCAGGTGCAGATGGTAAGCCTGGGTAATCTGCCATTTTTTTTTTTTTGAGACGGAGTCTTGCTCTGTCGCCCAGGCTGGAGTGCAGTGGCATGATCTCAGCTCACTGCAACCTCCACCTCCCGGGTTTAAGTGATTCTCTTGCTTCAGCATCCCAAGTAGCTGGGGCACCACCACACCCAGCTAATTTTTGTATTTTTAGTAGAGACGGGGTTTCACCATGTTGGCCAGGATGGTCTCAATCTCTTGACTATGTGATCCACCCGCCTCAGCCTCCCAAAGTGCTGGGATGACAGGCATGAGCCACCGCACCCGGCCAGGGCAATCTGCCATTTGCTGGCAACCCCAGCTTCTGAGGAGGAAAGGCTCAGAGGAGACAAAGGTGGCACCTAATCACAGATCTTGTCAGGCTCCTGGACTGGAACAGGCTTAGCCATGCTGTGCCACGTCATGGTCCAAGGCAGCAGTGACACTCTGCTGACCCCATTCTCTGTAGGTTCCCAGTTTCCTAGCGTTCTCCCAAAACCCAGAGGCTTGAGGCTTCCAAAAGTTCAGAAGGACAAGACTGCTTCCCAGGCTACTGAGACCAAGGGCTGGGGTTCTCTCTTCCCTTGTCCTTCTAGACATCTGCTTTCTGCCCAAGCACATCTCAGCACCTCTGGCTAGGCAGGTTCAGCAAGGGCAGTGTCCATGCTCATCACCTCCTTATCCTAGCCTGTCGTGGGAGATAAATCTTGATACCAAGGAACCCGTCTAAACCCTCCTCCAAGCCTCACTCCCTGAACCAGCCCAAACAAAGAGAAATACACCCTAAGCAGAAAGTCTGAGGTCACAGACCACAGGACTGATCCTCCTCTCACCCATAGGGGAAACCAGGTGGGGTGTAGGGGAGAATAAATAGAGTGGGGACTTGAAGTTAGCTGAGCTAGGTACTCCAGTTCTGCCATCTACTAACTGGGAGACCATGTGCAAAAAGTGACAACTTCTTCATCTTTCAGTGGGGTCATAACGCACACCTCATCTCTTATAGGGCTGCAATGAGGAATAAATGTGTACAAGGGCCCAGCCTGGTGGGTGGCCAGCAAATGGTAGCTATTAGGTGACTGGTATTTGCGGCTTAACTAGCAATTTCACATCTCTTTTCTCATCTGACTGGTCCCCATACACAGGCCTTTGAGGAAGGCAGGGCATGATTACCACCATTTTACTCATGAAGCAATTGAGGCTCTGAGAGATTACTTAATTTGCTCAATGGTAAACAAATTCTAACTCCTGGCCGCTGATCCAAGCTCTACCGCTTTACAGCTGTGTGAAACAGGGCTGGCTGCTTTGCTCTCTGAGCTTCCAGTTCCTCATCTGTAACCCAGGAGGAATGCCACCTCCTCAGAGAACATTGGTAAACATGATGTGAGGCAATTAAGAGCTGACACTTTCATGCGCTGGCCGTGTACTAGCTCTGCCAAGCACTACACAGGCACACAATCCCCCAAGGAAATAGCTTTAATTATCTCCATTTAATAGACAAGAACACTAAGATTCAGCACAGTGGAGTAATATGCCCAAGGTTACATAGCCTGGAAGTAGAGGCTGCCACCTGAGCACTAAACTATACAAGACATATAAAGTCCCCCGCTCATACCATGGCTTCAATCCCTGTCACATTCCCTTCCCTCTTCTTATCACCCTCTGTGCCGAGAAAGGCAGGGGTGAATAACGTGAAAAAAACCCCTCACACTTGGGTCTCCAGGATGGAGAGGAGGCAGTTGGAGGAAGTCCCACCAAAGTGTGGAAAATTGGGAAGTGGATGTGCAGGGGGAGCATGGCCAATCACCGATCCAGAGGGTTTCCCTCTCCACCCAGAGCCTGAAAGTGAAGTGAGGACAAACAAAAGGCTGACCTGTTTTGCATACTAGGCAACAACCTCTGGAGTTCACTACCCTAAGAGGTGGTAATGAATGAAGGTATAAATGGCTTTTAGACCAGTTCCATAAGAAGTGATGATGAGAAACCAAAGGCAGGAGAGGGTAGGCTGGTGGTGTGCAAATGGCTGTCAGGACTGGGAAACCTATGAGATCATGCAGTGAGGCCATCCCCTCCCCAGAAGGTAAGCGGTCTGCCTGACGCCACACACTCTGTGAGTTGGTAGGAAAAAGGAAGAGGGTCTGCAGCAGCCTGGCACTCCCTTCTGGGGCCCGGCCACCCCTGCCTAGGAGCCGGCTGGCAGTGTCCAGGCTCCCTGTCTGAGTGAGAGAGTCTGGCTTGCTTCACTCTCCCTCCTTCCCAATGCAGGCTAATTCTGGGGCTGCCTGTCTTTCCCATGAGGAATTCCCTGGCTCTGCTCCTTCTAGTGCTGGGTCAGTGCACAATGGTAAACAGGTTCTCTCCACCCTTCACTGGCCTTGGTGCCCTGGACCTCTGCCCAGCTCTCTACTCTGCTCAGCTCCACCCTACTCAGTGTGAGAAATGGTTCCTTTAGCACTAGCCTTGCTGGCTCCCAAAAAGAAAAACCAAGGTATCTACCTTCCTCTGATGCACTCATCTAGGGAAGGGCGTAGACCACAGAGAAACTCCCAAGCAGCTCTCCCTGACAACTGCAGAAAGGTATTAGATAGGGTCTTGCTCTGTCGCCCAAGATGGAGTGCAGTGGCATGATCTCGGCTCACTGCAGCCTCCGCCTCCTGGGCTTAAGCCATCCTCCCACCTCAGCCTCTCGAGTAGCTGGGACCATAGGCTCATGCTACCATGCCCCACTAAGTTTTGCATTTTTTGTAGAGACAAGGTTTCACCGTGTTGCCCAGGCTAGTCTCAAACTCCTGGGCTCAAGTGATCTGCCTGCATCAGCCTCCCAAAGTGTTAGGATTACGGGTATTAGTGACTGAGTGCCGCCTGAGACTATTCTCAACAGAAGACATCTTTTCTCCAAATCCCAGCTCCTACCAGGCAGAGTGCTGCTTGAAATTCCCTTGCTGGTGACTGAGTCCTTGGATCACAATCTCACTGCAGGCACCCAGGGGCCACCCTGACTCATCCTTACCAAACTGCTAGATCTCATTGATAGATCTTACCAAAATTAGTCTTGACTCACTGTTTATATAAGGCCCCTCCTCTGCCCAGACTCGTCCATGGCTCCCTACTGCCCTCATTATCCAACAGAAACCTCAGACCCTGTAGCTGGGCATTACGGCACACGCCCTGTCATCCCAGCTGCTCGGGAGACTGAAGTGGGAGGATCACTTGAGCTCAGGAGTTTGAAGCTGCAGTGAACCATGATTGTGCCACTGCACCCTAGACTGGGCCACTGGGTCACAGGGCAAGACCTTTTCTCAAAACAAACAAAACAAACAGAAAACAAAGAACAATAACAACAACAACAACAAAAACAACACAAAAAACAAAGAAACTTCAGGCCCTGGCTCTCAAGGCCCTCCTGTTCCCCTGCACATCCCTTTCTCCCCTAGTCCCATCTCTATAGGCCCCTACCCCTGAGCCATCTTCCTTCAACCCCCATTCAATTTTGGTGCCATCATCTTGGGAAGCATCATTCCAAACTCCTTCTCATCTCTACAAAGCCTCTCCTAACTACTCCAGGGACAGAACACAATCAGGCCCTCATTATATTCCATGCACACCTTTCTAGAGCCTGTGTTCCAGGCCCTGAATCTACAAAGATGAATAAAATGTGGTCCCTGCCCTTGAGGAGGTCAATCTGGCATCAACAAACAGGTAGGTAAATAACTAGCACACAGAGAAGAAGTGCCATCACAGGAGCATGTAGAAGGGGCTAGGAGACTGCAAAAAGACCCCAGGGTGAGGACGGGCTGTTTAGAGAAAGCTTTAAAGGGGAATTGACTTTTGAATTGGGGTTTGAAGGGTGACAGGAAGTAGCTAGGCTGAGAAAGGGGAAAGAACACACCAGGCAAAACACTCAGTATGTTCAAATGCTAGTTAATAGGAGAGGGAATGGCTTGTTTGGGGAATGTGAGCAGTCCAGTGGGACAGGTGGAGCTTCTCCACCTAAGGGCTGTTCTGCAGAGGCAGCATTTCATGAGAAGGCGCGTTCCTGGAGGGCAGGGGCTCTCTTGGCCTCATTCTCTGCAGTGTGTCCCAAGCCTGATACCTAGCTGGTGCTCAATAAATGTGTGTGTGTGTGTGTGTGTGTGTGTGTGTGTGTGTGTGTGTGTTGTTATTGTTGTTTTGAGACGGAGTCTTGCTCTGTCGCCCAGGCTGGAGTGCAGTGGCGCAATCTCGACTCACTGCAACCTCCGCCTCCCGGGTTCAAGCTATTCTCCTGCCTCAGCCTCCTGAGTAGCTGGGACTACAGGTGTGCGCCACCACGGCCAGCTAATTTTTTTTTTTTTTTTTTTTTTTTTTTTTTTTAGCAGAGACGGGGTTTCACCATGTTGGCCAGGATGGTCTCGATCTCCTGACCTCATGATCCACCCACCTCAGCCTCCCAAAGTGTAGGGATTACAGGCGTGAGCCACCGTGCCTGGCCAACAAATGTGTGTGTTGAGTGATTCATGAGCTTGGTGACCTCAGACACTCTGAATTTCATTAAGTGTTGTCAGCAGTGAAAAGGGAATATGCTCCTCTACCTTGATATCAGGTGGGTAAAGCATAGTAAGAACTTGATAAAGAGCATTCCCTCTCTGGCCTGGTACCAGCTCTAGATCTTCCTCAAAGCCCAGCACAGGGCTGAGCACAGATCTGCTTGATGATGGCATTTTATAACATTACAATTCTAATATTCAATTAACTTAACTGAATGTCTGTTATAACAACAGACGCTTGCTATGCACCAGACACTGTGTTCAGCACTTAACTTACATTATTTCATTTAATCCTGACAAGCCCATGAGATAAATCCTCTAATTATCAACTCCCTTTTGTGAATAAGGAAACTCAGGTTCTTCAGAAAGACAATAACTGGCCAAAGTCCAAGTCAAGCAGGGGATGGCACTGGAAAGTGAATCCGGGCCCTGCTCATCTCTCCCTCTGTCACTCAACTCCACCACCAAGTGCTGTCCAGTAGGCTGGGTATACACAGCCTTGCTCCTGAGGAGCTTGGAGCTCAGTGGACTCAGAGGCACAAGCTGTGTGATGCTTGGCAAGTCACTTTGCCTCTCTGGGACTTGGTTTCTGCTTCTTAAAATGGGGACTATGATGATAAATACTCTCACAGAATTAAACGAGGTGATGTAGGTGAAAGCCTCGTCCACCATACAGGCTCCTCTGTGAAATGGCATTACTGTGACTATCCTGGGAGGATGGAGGGGGTCACTCAGAAGCAGAACAGGAAGCTCAGGATGAAAGTCTACATGGTGCCAGGCACAGTAGCTCACGCCTATAATCCCAACATTTTGGGAGGCAGAGGCCAGAGGATTGCTTGAGGCCAGGAGTTTGAGACCAGCCTGGGCAAGAGAGTGAGACCCTGTCTCTACAAAATTGTTTTAAAAATTAGCCAGGCATAGTGCTGCATGTCTGTAGTCGTAGCTACTCAGGAGGCTGAGGTGGAAGATTGCTTGAGCCCAGGAGTTCAAGGCTGCAGTGAGCCATAATTGTGCCACTGCACTCCAGCCTGGGTGAGAGAGGGAGACCCTGACTCAAAAAAAAAAAAAAAACCCACCAAAAAAACACAAAAAACCCACAAAAAACCCACAGAGGAGGGTGGTGGTAATTATTAAGCAAACTCAGACTCCTTCCCCAAGTGACTACCACCACCCAGGAGGACAGAGGCCCCGGGCAGCACTCTGGTTGCAAGCCTTGAGTGGAATCTTTCGGGATGCCCACCTTTGCTCTTACTTCTGCTTATCTTTACAGACCAAGGAAAGGGAAGGTCAGGCCCTCAGATCACAGCCCTGCTCCAGATGACTCAGCGAGGAACTCATGGGGGGATTCCCAACCTGCCCTGGCAGGCCAGGAAGCTCCAGACCACAAGCTGAGTGGGACTGGCTCCTGCCTAACCTCCACGGTCGTGGGGTAGGTTGGAAGAGCACGTGAGGGAAGCCAGATTTTCACCCCAAAGCTGCATTGCTCCCTTACCATTATGCTAAATGTCTGAGGTAAAATCTCAGAGGGTAATTTACACTCGAATTGTGAGAGCCGCCATGTTCCACAGAGCCCTTACTTTGTGACAGACACTGTGCTGGGTGCTTTACCAACAACATCTCCCTTAATCCTAACAATACTCCTGCTCCCAATGCCACCGCCACACCCAGCTAATTTTTTTGTATTTTTAGTAGAGATACAGTTTCGCTATGTTGCCCAGGCTGGTCTTGAACTCCTGGACTGAAGTGATCTGTCCACCTTGGCCTCCCAGAGTACTGGGATTATAGGCATGAGCCACAGTGCCCAGCCTAGGTTCTCTTTCTTTGTGAAGCCAAGCGAAGATGAAAGGGAAAGCAGCAGCATTCTCCAAAAGTGGCTGGCCGCGGAAGATCGCTTCTGGACTCACAGTGTCCAAGGCCCAAAGCACTGAGTAGGGACAGGAGTTCTCCGAACTTATGCTCCTTCACTGGGTCACTCACGACCCAGCTACTCCTGCCTTGTCTTGGGGTACATATGAGGAGCTGTGTGTGGAGTCCTGGGACAGGAATTGTGTCATCCATCATGACAACTTAGCAACAAAAACAACCTGAAAAGCCTGGTAGGAGAAGTGCAGACACTTGGGGCTGGGCTGAAGTCCTAAGACTGGGACAGGAAGGGGAGGAGGAGAGGCCACACAGTGGTCACCAACTTTGGTAAGATGGGAAATTAGGAAGGAGGAATGCTGGGTGCCAGGCCCTGTTCCATCACTTGCTCACCCTTGGTTTCCTTATCAGGAAACAGGGTAAAATAATAGCCTACCAATTTCCCATTGCTCCTATAAGGGTTACTGAGAGGCAATGGAAATGAAAGCACTTTGCAGACTAAAGAGCTAGATAAATCAAAGCATCCCTTGATTTGATTACATTCCCAAAGTCCTGAGGGACACCGATCCTGCACACAAAGAGAAGTCCAGCCTGGTATGGTAGTTCATGCCTCTAATTCCAGCACTTTGGGAGGCAGAGGCAGGAAGATCACTTGAAGCCAGGAGTTTAAGACCAAGCTGGGCAAAAAAGTAAGACCCTGTCTCAATCAATCAATCAGAGATGTCCTCTCACAAGAGGAACAGAGCATGCTGGGAGCAGTGGTTTCTGTGGCATGTGCCATGGTGACTCCCCTGAACTTGCGTGGTACCACATAGAGAACTTCTCAAAGCACTGTTTTTGTTTTTGTTTTTTTTTTTTTGAGATAGGGTCTCCATTGCCCAGGCTGGAGTGCAGTAGTGCAATAATGGCTCACTGTAGCCTTGATTTCCCAGGCTCAAGTGATCCTCCTACCTCAGCCTCCCAAGTAGCTGGGACAACAGGTGCGCACCACTATGCCCAGCTAATTTTTAAATTATGGGATGTAGAGATGGGGTCTCCCTATGTTACTCAGGCTTCAAAACACTTTTCATATACTCCACGGTCAGTCTCAGGATGTCAGATGTAGCTGTCTTCAACACCATCCCACTAAAGCTGCCTTAGTTGGCTGGCACAGTGGCTCATGCCTATAACGTAAGCACTTTGGGAGGCTGAGGAGGGAGGATCGCTTGTGCCCAGGAGTTTGAAACCAGCCTGGGCAACATAGTGAGACTCTGTCTCTACAAAAAGTAAAAAAAGTAGCCAGGCATGGTGGCTTCAGCCTGTAATCCCAGCTACTCAGGAGGCTGAGGTGGGAAGATCGCTTGTGCCTGGGAGGTTGAGGCTGCAGTGAGCTGTGATTGCACCACTGCATTCCAGCCTGGGTGACAGAGCCAGACCCTGTCTCTTAAAAACAAACACACATACACACACACATACAAACTGCGTAGTTTTTATGTGGGGAAAACCGAGGTTAAAAAGATTAAGCAACTTTTGACCGGCATGGTGGCTCATGCCTGTAATCCCAGCATTTTGGAAGGCCAAGGTGGGTGGATCACCTGAGGTCAGGAGTTTGAGACCAACCTGGCCAACATGGCAAAACCCTGTCTCTACTAAAAATGCAAAAATTAGCCGGGCATGGTGGTGGGCACCTAAAACCCCAGCTACTCGGGAGGCTGAGGCATGAGAATCGCTTGAACCGGAAGGCAGAGGTTGCAGTGAGCCAAGATCAATTGTGCCATTTCACTCCAGCCTGCGCAAAAGAGCAAAACTCCATCTCAAAAAAACAAAACAAAACAAAACAAAACCAAGATTAAGCAACTTTCTCAAGGTCACACAGCTAGTTAGTGGCTCAGTAAGGCATAGGGTTAAGGTCTCCAGATCTCCGTTCAGCAGTATTTGTTTACACTATGCTCCTAATCCAATTATCTCATTTGATCCTCACAATCCTTTGTATACAACCACACCTGGTAACTTCTTTCTCTTTTTAAAATTTTTTTTAGAAATGGGGTCTCGCTCTGTCACCCAGGCTGGAGTGCAGTGGCACAATCACAGCTCACTGCAGCCTCAAACTCCCAGGCTCAGCCTCAGCCTCTGTAGTAGCTAGGACTACCGGCACGTGCCACCATGCCCAGCTAATTTATTTTTTAGAGACAGGGTCTCACTATGTTGACCAGACTGGTTGAAACTACTTGTTTAATGTCTGATTTCCCTGTGAGGGCAAGATCAGGTCTATATCCTGAGCCTAGCACAGGGCTACACATATAGTAAGTGCTGGGTGAAAAAAACTGGAAGCATTAGCCCCATGGTTGGGTGAGGGATGTGCCTAAGTCACATATTACAAAGGTCAGTGGTGGAGCCATCACTGACACTCTGACCCTGTGCCTGGTTCAGAGCCCTTTCTCAAACACTAGCCTAAAATCCACATTTCCAGCCAGAATCTCTCATCTCCGGATGCCACTGGTGGTGCCCCTTGTAAGTGCTGAGGGGTTTGCCTTCTCACAGGTTTTGTCCCAGCCAAGGCACCACCTCTAAGAACAGAATAAAGGTGCTAGGTGAGGTCAAACAAGCCTCCAGTTGCCAAGTGCCTCCCCTTGATCAGTGTATGCTGTGTCCAAAGGCCCAAACCCACCCTTCCCAGTTGCCATACCACCCTAAGGTAGGTTTTCCATGTCCTCAGGCCCCAGTCCTCTCTTCTGGTTCTCCTTGCATCCTTCCTTATCATCCAATATGTCTGCCAGGCAGAGACCAGGAAGCTCAACACCGCTTATCCTATTCCTTCCCCAACCAGGTCAGCCAACCCACTCTCCTGCTGGAAGGAGACAAAGAACCCCTTGATGTGCCCGGGGCAAGCCAGCCATACCAGGCACCTTGGGGAGCCCAGAGCTGTGACAACGCAGAGTCACAGCAGCCCACTGCCCTCTTCAGAGGAAGGCCACAGCTGGCCTTGCTTCCCTGTAGCCAGAGGGCTCCAGAATGGACTCTGTAAGAGGCCAAAGCCACTTCAGCTAGTCCAGAGCCTTCCTACCTCTCCATCAGCCCACATGGCAGTCATGAACCAAGCACTAATGATTTGCCAGCCTCTTTATCCTCACTGCTCCAGACCTCTTCCAGGTCTCACCACAGCCCTTTTAGGCCATCCTTGATTCTCCCAACAGGTCTCACTGCCTGCAATCCAGCTCCTCTTTATGCCGTCTTCCATGCCAGACCTGGACTAACTTTTATGCAACACAGGAGGCCTCAGCCTGACATTCAAGGCTGGACTCAGACCGCCCAACCCATTTCCTGGACTAACTTTTATGCAACACAAGAGGCCTCAGCCTGACATTCAAGGCTAGACTGAGACTGCCCAACCCATTTCCCTAACCTACCCTTGCTTCGTATCATTCTACTGCCTCCCGTTCTTCTTGTCGTATCATCCTACTGCCTCCCGTTCTTCTTGTCATCTCTGCTCTTGCCACACATGCTCAAACGACTGCTTTTGGGAGGGACTTTGCACATGGGCCCCCTCTCATCCAATGGACTGCCCTGCTTTGCCTCTTCTGAAGCCTGGATCAAATGCTACTACTTTCTAGGCTCCTGCAGGTGGGGCTGGCTGCTTTTTCCTCTGTACTCCCAGAGCAACTGCATGCCTCAATGACAGCCTTCATCACTCAACACTGGAAAGATTTGTCTGTGGTTCTATTTTTCAGCAAGTCTGTGAGTGCCTTGAGGGCAATAAAACACAGACATCTTGTTCAGTTCTATATCTCTTGTCCAAATCACAGGGTCTGACAGAGTAGGTGCTCAATAAATGTGTGGTAAATAAGCTCACTGCTAAGATGGATAAGCTGGCAAAAGTAAGCCTTGGTTTGCTCTCCCAGGCTGCTGGGTCTGCTGAGTATTTCTCTACCTGAAGAGGTGTTGAGTGCTAAGCTATGGCAGCCTCTGAAGACCTGGACAGGGCACAGAATGGAGTAGGGTAGGGTAGGGGGAGGAGAGACGGGAAATGGAAGGATGAGACAGAGAAAGCCAAAGTTGGCAGCTGCCCTGAAATCCTAGGTGGGGGCTTCTAAGCTGGTTAAGTATCAGGAGCATTGACTTGCCAGTGGGGTGGCCAGTACAGTGTTCTCCCTGCTGGAGAGGGTCTCTGGGCCCAGGATTGCGGCAATAGATTTACCAGGGGCAGACTAATCAGTTAAAGGAGGCCTCCTACCCCTCAAGTGTACTGTCTGCAGGATAAAGTGATCAGCTAGGACAACGGATGGATGATGGCAGGGCTCTGCTCTAGTCGGCAATGCATCCTGAGCCTGTAGGCTCAATTACCTCGACTGAGGAAGAGAAAGGGGAAGAGAATGGTCAGTGCTATGTAGCTAGAGGAGCACTGGGTGACAGTCGGAGGACCTGGGATCCCTCTCCGGTCTGGCTCCACAGTTCACTAACAGCAAGAGTTCTCCAACCTTCAGATTCCTCACCGGTACAAGCAACATAATCCCTGCCTCATCTACAAAGTAACACTTCTTCCAAAAGGCACAGACTAGATATCAAAGTCAAATGGCCATTATGCAGCATGTTGGGGTCAAGACCAATGCAATCCGGACTCTGGCCTATGGGAGGACTAAATCAGGCCTGATCTGGCCATGCTTCCAGGACCTCTCCAAGGATTTTCCTCCCTGTGCCTTTCTCCTGCTTGATGGCCATGACCTTTCCCTGTACTGAGACCTGCTCTGCCCTCCATACTGGAAGGGGGAGGTAGCCAGATTCCTGCTAACTCCTGCCCTGGGTGTGGGGACCTCAGGGACCTTAGGGACTTAGGGACAGTAAGCACCTGGCACCCTGCCTGCTGCCACCTTAGCAAGGTGTAGTCACTACTGGATGCAGTGTCAAGAAACAGGTTCTAGTCCCAGTTCTGCCATTTACCAGCTGGCAAACCTTGGGCACTTTTTCCTCGGTCTTCAGTACGCTCATCCACAGAATGGGGATAATCACCCCTCTCAGGGGAAGTAAGGATTCACCATGGGTTAGGGTTCATTCCTGCCGACAGGGGCTGGGCCTCACTGACACTCATCATTATAGCCAAAGATGGGAAGTAGAAAATGAAAAGATAGAACCACGAGCTGCTCCAGTCTTTAAGAGGGAGAAGAACATTCACTGAGCACCTACCCTGTATTATTAGTTCATTTAAACCTCAGAATGATCCTGCAAAGTCAGTGTTATCATAACCATTCTGCAGGTGAGAAACTGAGGCTCAGAGAAGTGAAGCAACATGTCCAAGATCACACAGCCAGCCAGATTCTGGCGCTTGTGTGAGGAGGGAGCACACAGTACCTTCTCTTGCCCACCTCGATATAAACAGATTGGGTGGCTGGGCCACAGCCAGGCCTCACTGCCCCTTGGGAGGTCCTGTTTCAGGCCCAGATGCTGGTAGGACAAAACATCAAGTAGGTGCTACCATCTTATCTCTTTCCCACAGCTTAGAGTTTCCCAGCAGGCGGACACTCAGGCACCTTCCCAGGGTAGCAGCTGGTGTGCCGGCTCCCTCCTTTACCAAGTCAGGTCTTGTCTGAGGACCTAACACTCACAGGGCCACCAAACCGGATATTCCTTCGAGGCTAAGAAGGGAAAAATGAGAGAAAATGGGAGGGCCTGCAGTCTAGAGTCACAGCCCAGGGCCCCATATGTACAAATGCCTCCTTCCAGATGGGCCACCCAGGGACCACCCCAATGCCAGCTCCATGCTCTCCTGGGATCTGTAACAGCTCAAGAAAAGTAGATGCTCTGAGTTTACTAACTAGAGAATAAGGCAAGGAGTCAGAATCTGGCCTGCCAGGAGGGCCCTGACCCCACTCCAATAAAAACTGGCACACAATAAACTATAGGGATGCCAATTAAGCCAGTTCTATGATTTCCAAAGTTGGCTAGTAATGAAAGGCCCAGGGAATGAGAACTAAAGAAGGCAATACTGCTATTCCAGATGTTTCTCCCTGGGCCCAGCTCAGATCCCTTGCTCCCATAACAGGAAGCCAACACCCATGGGATCCCAAAGAGCATAGCTCCTCACCTCATTTGGCCTGCAGACTGGGCGGACTGAGGCTGGATGGGAAGCTCTCAGCCTCAGGAGGCCAGACCTGACAATCACATAGGAAAAGGAGAAGAAGGTCAGGGACCACCTCTCTCAGGTCACCTCCCTCGGGCCAGGAGACCTGGTATAAAACTTGTATCCTTCTTTCCCTTCCCAACCACTTCCTCTATGCTACAGAAGGGACACCAAACAAGTCTGTTCTTCCTGCTCCAAAGTGACAGGAGGGGTATCATCACTCCTCCCACCCTTCCCTGCTGAAAACATCTTTTTCCTCAACTGGTCCTGGGCCTTTTTTTTTTTTTTTTTCTTTGAGACACGGTCTGTCTCACCCAGACTGGAGTACAGTGGCATGACCTCAACTCATTACAACCTCCGCCTCCCAAGCTCAAGCGATTCTCCTGTCTCAGCCTCCTGAGCAGCTGGGATTATGGGCGTGAGCCACTACCGCCTGGCTAATTTTTGTATTTTTAGTAGAGACGGGGTTTCACCATGTTGGCCAGGCTGGTCTCAAACTCCTGACCTCAAATGATCTGCCCACCTCGGCCTCCTAAAGTGCTGGGATTACGGCGGTGAACCACTGCACCCGGCCCTTCCTGGGCTTCAATGCCCCACTCGGTCTCCAGCCAAGCCAGAAGAACTAATGCTGTCGGCACTCTGATCTATGCCTATGCCACCCACAGGATCATTTACTGGCAAGCTGCTTTCTTGTCTGTGGCTACTACTCAAAAACAGACAGGGACCATCTCAGTCTCACTAAAGGTTCCCTGCGGAGTAGGCTCAAAAGACAGACAAGGTGAAGAAATGGAAAGGCCTAGGACTGGGAATCAGGAATTCCAGGTTTCTCACAGGCCTCCAGTTTATCCATCTGTATGCTGATGGCCATCTCTAAGGTCACTTTCAGCTTTTTTTTTTTTTTTTTTTTTTTTTTTTTTAGGCAAGGTCTCCCAGGCTGGAGTGTAGTGGCGTGATTTCAGCTCACGGTAACCTCCACCTCCCTGGGCTCAAGCAGTCTTCCTACCTCAGCCTCCCAAGTGGCTAGGACTATAGGTGCATGACACCACACCCAACTAATTTTTGTATTTTTTGTAGAGATGGGGTTTCACCATGTTGGCCAGGCTGGTCTTGAACTCCTGGGCTCAAGCGATCGCCTGCCTCAGCCTCCCAAAGTGCTGGAATTACAGGCGTGAGGCACAGCACCTAGTCTTTTTTTTTTTTTTTTGAGACAGGGTCATGTTCTGTCTCAAGAAAGAGCTGGGTGGAGCACAGTGGCACCATCTTGGCTTACTGCAACCTCCACCTCCTGGGCTCAAGAGATCCTCCCACCTCTCAGCCTCCCAAGTAGCTGGGATTACAGGTGCCCACCACAATGCCCAGCTAATTTTTTGTATTTTCTTGTAGAGATGGAGTTTCACCATGTTGCCCAGGCTGGTCTCGAATTCCTGAACTCAAGGAATCCACCTGCCTCAGCCTCCCAAAGTGCTGGGATTATAGGCGTGAGCCACCATGCCCTGCCACTTTCAGCTTCCTGACTTGAAATGTCTCCCCGCAAATAAGTATTAATTACTCCACCGCAGGCCTGAGGAGAAAAAGGTGAATGAGCCTCTTCCCAGTCCTGAAGCTAATCAGTCTAATGAACTGGTAATGACAACATATTCTTATCCTTCTGGGCCACTTCTATTAGCCTCATATACTGCTGAGAGAGTCGAAAGTGCTGAGCTAAGTCAGGGAAGGTAAGAGCAGGCAGGTGACTGCTAAGACACTTCTGTTCTACCTGTCTGACACCTGATATCCTGCAGGGACGAAAGGCCATATTTATGGATGGTGAAGGCAGTGGAAACTGTACTGACCTGGGAGTCAGAAACCCTAAGTCCAAGTCCTAGTTCTGCCACTAATATGCTGTGATCTTAAGAAAGTTACTCTTCTCTCTGGGCCTCAGTTTCCTCATCTATGTAAGTAAGGGCTGAGCTGGTCAATCTATTAAGATCCCTTACAGGCCAGGCATGGTGGCTCATGCCTGTAAACCCAGCACTTCGGGAGGCTGAGGCAGGTGGATCGCCTGAGGTCAGGAGTTCAAGACCAGCCTGGCCAACATGGTGAAACTCCATCTCTACTAAAAATATGAAAAATTAGCCAGGTGTGGTGATGGGTGCAATCTCTGCCTCCCAGCTACTCAGGAGGCTGAGACAGGAGAATCACTTGAACCCGGGAGGCAGATGTTGCAGTGAGTTGAGACTGCGCCACTGCACTCCAGCCTGGGTGACAGAGCGAGACTCCGTCTCAAAAAAAAAAGATCCCTTACAGTGCAGTCTATGGTTTTTTTAATCTACTCATGCCATGTAGCTAATAGTCACCTCAGTAAGGTAGCCTGTGACCTGCTTTCTTACCCCCAGGCCTGGCAACTTCCACATCCAAAATGTCTTAAGACAACCTTTGGCCCAGGGTAGCTGAAATGGACCTTTAATCTGGAGTCAGAGTCCCCACCATCTCCACAGTACCCATGAGGGCTAACGTTTCACTTCTCTAGCATAGAACATGGACTCCTAGCCTTCAACCACGAGACTGGGTTCAGGGCGGTCACCCTGAAGCTTTCCATAACTTCCCCTCTATGGCCTTGGGCAGGGACTTACTCTTGGCTTTTTTGAAACCACAATATAAATTAAGTAGGGAACATCGAAGCTTTCAGATACCAGAGATTTTAGGTTGACTGACAGGCTCCAGAAAGTGAGGGAAGGAGAGAGGACTGGAGCTGGGATCCCACCTCAGCCCCAGCCCTACAGACAGCAGCCATGTAGAGGGTGTCTGCAGAGCCACATCCCGGGTTTGTGGTTGTGGGGTAAGAAAGACAGATGTCTGGCTGCCTGGTTGGGGACTACAGCCAAAGGGAGGTGCTTCCACTGGGGCCTCACTCTGCCCACAAATACCAGAGATATGCCCTCATTTTTCTCTTCATTTCTCAGACCCTTAGAAGGAAAGAAAGAAAACTAACATTTTCTGGGCCGCTACTTGTGACAAGCGCTGTGCCAGGCACCTTCACGTATCATATACTCATTTAACCCCCAGAGTAATGTTGGGAAGTGGGTGTTACTGTCGCCCTTTACAGTGAGTAAACAGGCTCAGAGATTCAGGATCTTGCCCAAGGTCACAAAGCTAGCAAGTGTAATTCCTAAGTTTGGCCTTTTCCTAATATATCACATTGCTCTGCACCCCAAGATCTGGTTGATTGCCTGATAAGCATGTAGTAGGAACTCTCATGCCCTAGCATTCTCCCACAAATCTGAGCTCTTCCTTCCAAGGTCCCATAAATGCAACTGGGAACTCCTTTCCTAGATCTCAAGACCACACACCTCCCTGGGTCCTAATCCCAGGTGACTGCTCCTCAATTCAAAACACTCCAGGTCCCCACTAAGTTCTCACAAGTGAATCCCTGGGGAACTGTGACAAAGCATCAGTCAGGGTGAGGGTTCAGAATGAGGGGTGCTCTCTCTGAGTCCTGGACTAAACCTAGCCTGCTGTGAGCCAGTAGGGAGATACTGGAGGAGACAGATCCAGTGGGTGAGAGGGAACTCCCCTTAGGGGAGGGGCCTGGATTTCTCCAAGGAAGAAGGAGGCCTGGTGAATAAGAGGCTTTAGGGCTGGGGAAAATCCCGGAAGTGACAGGGGTTCTTAGACAGTTAAAGCGCTTCCATAAGTCATGAGAGAGTCTGGGGTGACCTTGGACAATCTCAATTGGTCAGAGAAAGGGAGAAAGGATATTCTCTGGAGTAGGGTCATGGCAGGGCCCCAGGAGCTCCTACTGGTGATTGGGATGGAAAGCACACATCAGGAGGGAGTCTTGTCAGTTCTGTGCACAACACTGGTCTCACGTGACAGGACAGCTGGGATGGGAGTGGGGTATGGAGTCCATCTTTCCTAAGGGGACCGCCAGCCTGTACACATGATCTCTGAGGCCTGGGCTCGGGGGATTCTGTGGGGCAACATGGGGCCCAGCTTGGAGGCAAGGTGCTGTTCCACTGCCCCACATTTCTCTGTCTGCTAGCTGGGTGTCTGGGTGCTCTCGGGATAGGACATCGGGGGGTGCTAATATGAGCAGGGACCCTGCTGTCTCCCTGCCTGCCCCCGTCCCACGCCCAAGATCTGCCCTTGGGAGGAGGCGCATACATACACAGGACATACACAGAGCCCATCTACTGGCTCCTGTGGCTGCTGGAGCTGATGGTCTGTCCTAGTGGTGGGGCTCCCTGTCGCCCTGTACGTGCTGGGAAGGGGGAGTACCTGCCCACCTGTTGCCAGTGCCAGTGGAGGAAGCTGTGTATGAGCGGATAGGGGGCCCTTCTCCGACCCTTCCATGAGGAGAAGGGACTGTCTGTCCCAGGATGGAGCTGAGGGGAGGGAGGTGACCAATGTCTGTCCATCCAGAGGTCTGTATGCCTCGAGGAAAGGGTCAGTCTGTCCTGGGAAGGGGTGGGGGCGGGGCAGTCAGTCCTGAAGTCGGTCTGAGGTCTCCTGGTGTGGGGGCAGTGAGGCGGGGAGACAAGGGCGTCTGTGGGTTTGTGGGAGGGGGAAAGATGGAGAATGAGTGTCTATGGAGGGGGGCGCCAGCCATCTGGGAGCCTGTCGGGGTGGCAGAAACAATCATCCCTAAGGTCTTGGCGGCAGGGGTGGGTTTGGGGCAGTCTGTCATTCTGTTCCACGGCTGGAAGGAGGGCACAGTCGGTCCTTCCTGGGAGCGGGTCAGTCTGTCCGGAGGGTGGAGGTGGCGGGTGGAGGTGTGGGCCCGTCCGCCCCCTGGGTCGGAAGTAGGACTGCGAAGGGGGCGGGTCTAGGAAGGCAGGGGTGGTGGGGGTGGGGCAGGGGAGGGAACGGGGATTAGTGGTCCCTGCCTGGGAGGGGGACGTGTCGGCAAGTCCCGAGGGCGCCTCCGTCCGTGTCGAGGCCCCTCGCGTGGGTGGCGCGCTCAGTCCCGACCCCCGGCGCTACTCACGCGCCCTCGGCGCCCTGCGAGCCCACGATGAAGCCGAACTTGTCGATGCGGCGCTCGGCGAAGCCGTTGGCCTCCGAGTCAGACCCGAGAGAGCTGAGTTCGTCGGTGGTTGCGGCGTCGGGGCCCTGGGCCAGGCTCTCCCGGGTTCCCGACAGGCTTTCCCCGGCCGCGGGCGCGCGCGGCCCATTCTCTCCGTTGCTCTTCGCCATCCCAGCCGCGCCCGCCGCCTGAGCTCCAGCGGCCACCTCAGCCGCCCTGCTGCCGCCGACGCCCCGCCCACGCGCGGCGCCTATTGGCCGCCGCAAGGCCGGGGGGCGGGGCTCCAGGCCCACCCCGGAGCTCTCCCCCCACGCCCAATGGGCGCCGCGGACCCCGGGCCCCGCCCACCCTCCCCCGGCGGGCGCCAACAAGCCCGAAGTGAGGGGGCGGGGCAGCCGTCACCGCAGCCCTCCCCGCCCTCCTCCGGGCTGCCAATCACAAGAACTCACCTGGACGAGCTCGGGCCTTTCCGGGTTGGCTCCAAGCGGGGCCTGTCACCTACTGCAGAGCGCGAGCCGGAGGCCCAGGGCTTCCTCCATGGATTCCTCATCTGCCTCCTGAGCCCCGCTCCCTGCGAGACCCCAAGGACGTGGTAGGGATTGTTTGCCCCATTCATTTATGAGGAACTCTGAGGAGGCCCAAGTGAGTTCAGGGACGCAGAGCGGCTTAAAGGCCCAGCCTGAGCCAGAAGTCTGGCAGTCCCATTGCACTCACTGCTTCTGGGGCTTTAAATTACCTCGTGAGACCTAATTATTAATAATCACCAGCGTTTACTGAGCCACGCACGCCCGAAGCTCTACCTACTTTCTCCTGTAGTCTTTTCCCCAGCAGTTTTATGGAACATAAACATACCATAAATTCACGTTTAAAGTGTACAATGATTTTTAGCATATTTACAGAGTTGTGCAGCCATCACAACATTCTAATTTTAGAACATTTTCATCACCCCAAAAAGAAACTCCTACCAATTAGCAGTCACTCCGCATCCTGGCTCCCCCAGTCCCTGGCAACCACTAATCTGCTTCCTGTTTCTATAGATGTCCCTTTTCTGGATATTTCATATAAATGGAATTATACAATATATGGCCTTTTATGTCTGGATTCTTTCTCTTGAACATTTTCAAGTTTCATCCACATTGTAGCATGTATCAGTGCTTCTGGATTCACATCTGCCCCAGGTATGTCTGACTCCACCCCTCCCTTTCCTGGGATAGGCCCACACCGCCATGAAAGACCTATACTGCCCCTCCTGGGAGCTGGGACTATACCAGATTTTGTTTTTCCATTCATCAGTGATGGTCATTCGCGTGTTTCTAGTTTTTAGCCATTATGAATAATGCTGCTCTGACCATTCAGGTACAAGCTTTTGTGTGGGGGCCTTATGTTTACATTTCTCTTGGATAGATAAGGAAGAGTGGAATTGCTGGGTCATATGGCAACTGTTTAACCTTTCGAGGAACTGGCAAACTGTTTTCCAAATTGGTTGCAACATGTCTTGTAATCTCTTAGCAATGAGGTATACACCATTATTAGTCCCATTTTACAGTTAAGGAGACTGAGGTAAAGTCAGTTGCCTAAGGTCCCAGAATTAGCTGTGAATATAGCCAGGATTCGAACTTAGCTCTTACCAACTGCCTATATTTGGAGGGATGGGCCGATTTTATCTATATGGGCTTAGCCCCAAGCAGCTGATTTCTGACCCTAGAGATTGTCAACTCTTGGATCTATAATATAATGATAGCTCCTCGCTTATGTCTAGTACTTTATGGTTTACAAGTCACAGTATATTGTCATCTGACACTCCCTGCAGACCTGTGGGAGAGACAGGCCTAGAGAGGGGAAGGGACTGGAAGACTCAGACCTGGCTGCAGGGCCTGGGACAGACTATTCAGGGCCCCAAGGCAAGCCCCAAGAGGGGGTCTTGAGCCTTGAGTGATTTCACCTTGATGCCATGTGGCCTGGACATTCTTGATGGCGTCATTGTACAATCCTCACATTCCATGAGCTTCTGGCTTTCCATAAACAAGGCAAGAACAGACATGGGAGTGGGCACAGGCTATTTTGGTCTTAAACCCTCAGTCTAGGAGGATGTTCCTTCTCTTCAGTGACTCCAGACAGTGGTGGGCTCCTGGTCCCAGCTCCCAGGAGGGGCGGTATGGGTCTTTCATGGTGGTATGGGCCTATCCCAGGAAAGGGAGGGGGAGGAGCCAGACATACCTGGGGCAGATGTGAAGCCTCAAGTACAGCAAAGAAAAGTATCCACGACCCTTTGACTTCATGATTCTATCCCTAGGGTTATATCCCAAACATGTTCTTACTCAGCTCTGTGAGGGCACAAATATAGAGACGTTCACCCCAGGGATATTTGGGGAGGGGGTAGATTAGAGACCCTGAGTGTTCATCTTTAGGAGACTGTATAGATGTTACTCCAGTGATGCTTCAGCTTCTAATTTTCTTTAATCAAACCACCAGGATTTGAATTTATGCTCTGTGACCTTGAGCAAATTACTTCTCTCTGAGCCCATTTCCTCATCTATAAATTGGAAATTCTGAAAAAATTCTTCCTTGGAAGAATTGTGCTGAGACTTTAGTGTGACAGTATGCGCTAAACACCTGGCACATGGAGAAGCCCAGTAAATAATGGCCAGGAGCTGGGCGCGGTGGCTCATGCCTGTAATCCCAGCACTTTGAGAGGCTGAGGTGGGTGGATCACTTGAGATCAGGAGTTCGAGACCAGCCTGGCCAACGTGGTGAAACCCCGTCTCTATTAAAAATTCAAAAATTAGCTGGGCGTGGTGGCAGGCGCCTGTAATCACAGCTACTCAGGAGGCTGAGGCAGGAGAATCGCTGGAACCTGGGAGGCAGAGGTTGCAGTGAGCAGAGATCACACCACTCCAGCCTGGGTGACAGACAAGACTCCATCTCAAAATAAATAAATAAATAAATAAATAAATAATGGCCAGGAGTGGTGGCATTTGAAGCTTGCAAAAGGAATTGCAAATTCATTATTGTCTTGAGTGTTCCCCATCACAGCCTGTGGCTGCAGCGGGGGAGTTTGCCCAATTTAACCTATGGCACGTGGCTTGGGAGACTTCACTTCGTGGCTGTGCCCCTCAACAACTGGGTGTCCTTGTGTGAAATTGCTAACTTTTGTATTTTTTTGTAGAGATTAGGTCTTACTATGTGGCCTAGGATGGTCTTGAACTCCTGGGCTCAAGTGATCTTCCCGCCTTGGCCTCCCAAATTGTTGGGATTACAGGCGTGAGCCTCCATGCCTGGCCAAACTCCAGAGTTCTTTATTTAATACACCTATAATGAGCCAGACATTAGTGCAGGGGTGTCCAACCTTTCGGCTTCCCTGGGCCACACCGGAAGAAGAATTGTCTTAGGCCATACATAAAATACACTAACGATATAGCTGATGAGTTAAAAAACATTGCAAAAAAAAATCTCATAATGTTTTAAGGAAGTTTACAAATTTGGGGCCGGGCGCGGCTCATGCCTATAATCCCAGCACTTTGGGAGGCCGAGGAGGGCGGATCATGAGGTCAGGAGATCGAGACCATCCTGGCTAACACGGTGAAACCCCGTCTCTACTAAAAATACAAAAAATTAGCCGGGCGTGGTGGCAGGAGCCTGTAGTCCCAGCTACTCGGGAGGCTGAGGCAGGAGAATGGCGTGAACCCGGGAGGTGGAGCTTGCAGTGAGCCGAGATGGCGCCACTGCACTCCAGCCTGGGCGAAAGAGCAAGACTCTGTCTAAAAAAAAAAAAGAGAAAGTTTACAAATTTGTGTTGGGCCACATTCAAAGCTCTCCTGGGCCATGGGTTGGACGAGCTTGCTCTAGTGAATAAGAGAGATGAAGTCCTGGCCCAATAGAGTTTATAGTCCAGTGGAGGAGGGACAACATGAACAAGCACAGAACATCTATCAGGTAGTGAGAATAAGAAAATAAAGCCAGGTAAGGTATGGAGAATGCTGGAGTAGGTGTTGGGGAGGTGGTATGGGCTGAAAATGAGGGACCCCTTCTGCAGGACTGAGAATAGTGTACAAGCATGGCAGCAGATGATTTTCCCCTTGAAGGAGAAGGAGGCTGTGTTGTTAGATTGGAGTGAGAAAGCAAGGGCAACAGTGAACCAATGAATAAATGATCAGAAAGGAGCCCTGCAGAATCACGTGGTTCACTGGAATAAAGAATTTAAGAGGCCTTAGGCAATGCTGTGGAACATCCTGGTGAACTGGCTGTTGGAGACATTCTTTTGAAGATAGAATGTGTTGATATCCCAGAGTCTCATCCTGCTGGGGTCATTCCCAACAGCTGGGCTTGAGGATCTCACATAGGCCCCTCTCCTGGATCCTGGAATGTGCAGTTGGCATGTGCTCAGGAAACCTGTGAGCACTGGCCATGAGCAAAAGTCCAGATGCCCTTTTTTTTTTTTTTTTTTTTTTTGAGACGGAGTCTTGCTCTGTTGCCCAGGCTGGAGTGCAGTGGTGTGATCCTGGCTCACTGCAACCTCCACCTCCCGGGTTCAAGAGATTCTCCTGCCTCAGCCTCCCAAGTAGCTGGGATTACAGGCACCTGCCACCTGTTATAACAGTATTCTCTGTAATGATCTATTTTAATTTTAATTTAAAAAAACTTTTTTAGAGATGAGTTCTCACTATGTTGTCTAAGCTGACTTTGAACTTCCTGGCTCAAGCAATCCTCTTACCTCAACCTCCCAAGCAGCTGGAACTACAGGTGTGTCACTGTGCCTGGCAGGAGTTTATCTTGTCCTGCTTCATGGACTGTAGTGTCCAGGGGTACCTAGAATTGTTCACTTACATGCTGGGAGCAGTGTCAGGGCATGGTGTCAGGGAACTCACCAGGCAGTGTTCTTTTATATAACAATGCAGCCTTTTTTTTTTTTTTTAGACAGAGTTTCAATCTTGTTGCCCAGGCTGGAGTGCAATGGTGCTATCTCAGCTCACCACAACCTCCACCTCCTGGGTTCAAGCGATCCTCCTGCCTCAGCCTCCCAAGTAGCTGGGATTACAGGCATGTGCCACCATGCCCGGCTAATTTTGTATTTTTAGTAGAGACAGGGTTTCTCCATGTTGGTCAGGCTGGTCTTGAACTCGCGACCTCAGGTGATCCGCCCGCCTCGGCCTCCCAAAGTGCTGGGATTACAGGTGTGAGCCACTACACCTGGCAACAATGCAGAATTAAAAAAATGTAACAATACAGAATAGTTAACAGCAAATCTCCATATCTGGTAGAGTTAATGATCATAACTCTTAAGATCTTACATTTTGCTTTTATTTTTAAAAAGTAAACTTCTAAAAATCTTATACACTGGTATGTGTACCCATGAGTAGAGCTATATTATGCTTTCTTGTCTAATTACAGGGATAAATGAAATATGATTGCTAATAGTACATGTATTTCCATTCAAGTATATATCCTAACATAACCCAATATAACCATTTAATATATTCTCTAATACAATATTATTAATTTTAAAGTAAAATGGTTCTGATCATTACTGGCCTCCTCTAAGAGTACATGACAAGTACTTAAGTAGTGGGTAGAACTGAAAGTGAAATTCCTTAATGTCTACAATTCCTGGAGCCCTCTGCATGCAAGTCTTCAAAATTATGGTGACTTAAGTCCCACACCACCTGTTTTCCCAGCAGTCCTGCAACAGGAGCACTTATTCCTATTTCATAGTGTGGTCTGGTGGAGCAGAGCAGTGTGGTCCCCAGGAAGGGATGAGCTGCTTTGGCTTTCCAGAGCACTCACTGGCTACATGACCTTGGGTATTCCACCTCGTTTTAAAAATGGGGCAGATAATCCTCAGGAGATTGCAAGAAGAATCAGAAAAGCTGTGCAGAGCAGCTTTGTATTATAAACACTAGGACGCTACCTACATGCTGCAGGTCCTAAACTAGTGCAGTGCCAAGCAGCACACTGGGCCTGTGGCCACTGATGTTCACAAGGCCTCATGGTCAATGGAGCTTCTGCATCTGAGCGAGCCAGTACAGATATTCATTCAGGAGCTCCAGGAAACTGGATTTGCTCTCTAGAGGGCAGCTCAAAGGGCCCATTCACTCACAATCCACCCAACGGCATTCCTGGCCTCCGGTCACAGCCTCAGCCACGGAAGTCCTGCAGGGTTTGCCAGTCTGTGGGGGTGAGTGCCCTAACACCATGAACTGCCCACTGCTCCCAGAAAGAAAGAAGAACTTGGAATATGAGACTCCCCAGGTCTCCTGACCCTCTTCCTTCTTGGAATGAGACCCAGGTAGTGCTCAGGGGATTTCTGGTGTTGGCCATGGACAAGCAACCAGTAGTGGGCTCACTTTAGGGACGCAAACCACAAAGCCCACCTCAGGAAGCCAAATTTCAACTCTTGCCCCTGGGGCAAACTTCTAGCAACCAGGCCAGAGGCAAATGTCAGACAGGATAAGGGATGACATCCCATCAATCAAGTTGAAAATGGGAGGGACCCAGCAGTTTGTAATAAAGCCATAAAACTGGTACTGACTCTGGGTGAGAGGGAGAGGCAGGGTGGTGACTAGAGAGCTGGTTCTGTGACCTTGGGAAATGGTCTCACCCCTCTGAGCCCTGGAGATGACCTGATGGGGCAGCTAGGAGGTCCAAATGGAAGGACTGCAAATAAAAGGCACTGGGAACTCTCAGGGGCCACACACATGTGAGATCTTCCCAATAAAATCAGCCTTAGCTTTAAAACCAGGAAATTGTTAGCAACAGGCTCTCACCTTCCTCCAACACCCACAGCATTGCCTATCTCCCTGTGATAGCTTGATTCTAAAGATAACAGCCTGCCTTTACTCAGAAACCAGGACTGTGACGTGTTTTGCACACATTCTCTTTTCACTTTCACAGTGTGTGACTATGGCATGCAACTTATGTTCTCTGTGCCTCAGTTTACTCAAGTGTTAAACAGGAATACTCACATGAGGATTACATGAGTTAAAATGGATAAAATGGATAAAAGTAGAGAGTAAATTATTTAAACTTTATCAAATCCTTGGTACATGACCTTAATACAATTAAGTATTTGTTAAATACATACATTTTAAAGAAACGTCATCATATCCACACACCTATGAGGCACCTGCCCAGGACCACAGAGCCAATCAATCAGGTGATGAGTGATTCCAGGCCAGCAGGAAACCACCGCCCACTGACACAGGGACTGCACCATCCATCCTTGGTTTGCATGGTGCCTGCCATGCTTCCTGTATTACTGTTAAATACATGGGGCAGGCCTTTGGAGGATCCCAATGTTTTAAAAGGGCAATACGAATATGATTCTAATACATAAAAAGTATGAGGGCAGCAAGAATTTAGTTACAAAACCCAAAAATCCTCAAAGAGAAGCCACATAGCACTGTGCAGTGTTACCACTGCCTCGAGTCTGGACAGGGCACAGGTGACCGAGACAAGTCTTATTTAACTGATTTCACAAGAAGGGTCCGAGTTTTATTAGACAACCCATGTCAAGGTACAAAATGATTAATGACAATATCAGCCATATTCTATTAGCCAAGTGCCACCTGTCACTATGAAACTATCCTGTAGGACATCCCTGGGCTCTCAGTTGCTAATGGGCTGCTGAAGAAATGAATGTCCTCAAATCGAGACCCTAACACAAAGAGATTCCAGAGAGTGGCTTAGAAAACCCAGCTACTCTTACCAATGTGGGGAAAGGGTCAGGGGAATGAACCTCTGCAGGACAATTTGAATTCCCAAACTGAGTAAGAGCGAAACAAATATGCAGGCAAGGCAAAGCCTCAGGGGGGCTCCTGGGTCTGGGGCAGGGGGTGGGAGACAGGAGAGGCAAAATGGCAGGGACTTGACAGCAGGTTCCTCTTGTCTACTTCTTCCTCCCGCCTCTCTCCTTGAGGGCCAGGTGGATGACTGCGCCATTGGCCATGTTGTAGTAAGCCAGTGAGTTGGAATCTTTGATGAAGATACCCTGGAAAACAGACAGCGTGCCTTAGCATGGGGCAACCCAGCCTTGGGGATACCGCTGCAACCTTACAACTGTGCACTTGGTCTGTTTGCGCTCTGGACTTAGCAAATACAGGAGCTTGTGAGAAGGTAGGGTGTTGGGGACTGGAGGCCTCTCATTCCTCCCACTGTTTCCTTTCTTCCCACCAATTACGCTCCTCCCCTTTGTCAACATTTGACTCAAAAGCTCAACTCCCCAAAAAGTTGGCCCCTCACCAACTCCATGGAGCTCTGACTCTGAAATCACAAGACCTTTAGGGATCACTTAGCCCAACAGCCTCAATGGATAGAGATAACTGAGGCCCAGAGCAGGGATTTGTTCAAGTTCAGAGAAGAAGAACATTAATGCCTCCATGTGACCTGGCATCAGGCGGGGCTAGACTATCACCTCCAAGTCAGGCTGCCTGAGGTCATACTGGCAGGGATGGCCCAACCACTGGATCAGGAACCCACCAGAGCATGCCTAAGTCTTGTCACTAAATCTCTATGCCCAGTCATTGAGGCAAAGAATCTTACAGATCCCACACAAGACTCTACTGTGACCCCACCAGAGCCTTGCATTGTTGGGCACACCTGCCCCAACACTCCCAGCCAGCATCATGACTTCTAGGATGGATTCAGATGGCCACACCCAGATATCACTCCACTCCCCTTTTAGCTTCCATGACAGATTTAGCTTCTGTGAAAGCAGAGGTGTCAGGACCCAAGGGACAGGTCTGTGGACAAACTGACTCACCTCATACTGTAGCTTCTGTTTCCCTGCAGGCATGCCTGTGGCTTCATGAATCTTCACCTTAATGACAGAGACCTGTGGGATCAAGCAGCGGTCATTCAACTCCTTGGTAAGGCCAGCTAGAGGAAGCTTTCCCCTGAATGCTTGGTTCCCATGCACCTGATGCCAGTTTCTGGCAGTACCCATACCTGGTCCGTGAGTGGGAGGGTGAAGACCAGCACCTGCCCATTCAGTTTCCATTCCGTCTTATCCTGCATGTTGGGCACCTGGACTTTGATGGACACTGGACCCTACAAAACAGGAGGTGGTCATTATGCCTAGGGAGCTCGGAGCCAATCAAGAACTATGCTCTGCTATCCCTAGGCCTGTCCAGACAATGTCACCTGTGCATCTGGGCTCCTGGATTCTGGCCTGATTCACCACTGATAACCCCTTGTGAGGTTGTACAAGTCACCCCCCTTTGCAAGATTAGGTTTCTTTTCTTTAAAACAATCTCTATCTTGTCTCTTGGTGAGTCTGGAGCTAAACTGAAGAACTTTAGTGAAAATACTCTGCACACCCCAAGGGAAAAGAATATGACCTGCAGGGTCGGAAGACCTGGATTCCCAACTCAGCTTCCCAGCTAACAAGGTTTGTCTGAGCCTCAATGTCATTATCCACCAGACAGGGTTCATGACTGTTTTGAGTATTGAGGGGAAGTGTCTGTAAAGTGCTTAGCTCTATCCTGGTACTTAAGCGTTTAAGAAATGGGAACTATTATTAAAAAACAAACAGAGCGGGTGCAGTGGCTCACACCTGTAATCCCAGCACTTTGGGAGGCCAGCGTGGTGGATCACTTACGGCCAGGAGTTCAAGACAAGCCTGGCCAACGTGGCGAAACCCCATCTCTACTAAAATACTAAAAATACAAAAATTAGCTGGGTGTGTGGTGCACACCTGTAATCCCAGCTACTCCGGAGGTTGAGGCATAACAATCACTTGAACCCGGGAGGCAGAGGTTGCAAAAACAAAACGAAACAATTTGGTCAAATACATTGGGGGAGCAGAGGCCGGGGCTGTTTCTGTCTCCTTACTGCAGCCTGACAGCTTCCCTAGTGATTAGCAGTGACAAGGTCCCCACCTCCCCTTATTCCAGGACCCCAACAGGATCCCACCCAACAGGCAGACCTCCTAAGGGCTAGAGCTGGGGAGGAAGGCCACAGTAAATTTTAAAACACCACACACAATTTCCTCCAGGTGTCTAGGGTCCCTCTCACACGTGAGTTGTGCTGCCCGTGCTGCTGGGTCTCCCTGTTGGCCTCTGTAAGTCTACACCAGAGGGACCACCACAGTCACCACCTCTGCCACCACTACCATCACCATCACCACCAATGCTCTCTGCTCCTCCAATTGTTGGCCCCACATTCACTGTGTGCTCAGAAGCCCTTAGATGCCTCCAACAGCTGACCTAGGCCCCAGAAGCCAAGACTGGGAGTGAAATAGGGTCAGTTTCGCAAGTGTACGACAGGGGCGGGACTGAACCCTCCAGCTAGAAACTTCAGCAGCATTCTGGGATTACATACCTTGTTTCTGCGCAGGAACTCCTCCTCTGGCATGAGGCTGTCCTCTGTCTTCAGTTTTTTGGAGGTGGGCTCATCTTCCATGGGAGGTGGGGGATGCACAGGGGGCATTGGGGCTGGAGCTGGGACAGGTGCCACAGGTGGAGCAGGCACAAAGGCTGCAAAGACAAGAATAAGCAGCCCCATGAGAGGGCAGAAGGGGCCCAGGACTCAGGGCTGATGAGAAGTTGAGAGGGAAGGTTGCAAAGGTTTCCTCTAGTCAGAGGTGTCAAGTGCTGTTCCCTGCTAAGTCTGGCAGCCAGCAGGTTCCCTGGCAAGGGGACCTGGGAGGCTGCCCAGATTGGACAGCAGAGGACTGCAGGAGGGGCAGGACTGATGGATGGAGCTAGTGCCAAGCAACAAGCATTTCTCAGGCCTCTGAGCCTGTTGGGGACCTGATCCCTGAATGCACAGACACTGGCTACACCATTTCAGCCTCTCATTTCTACCAGGAACGGTGGCTCCCAGCTCTAGGGTTGCGGATCTTTCAATGGGAAGCCAGGGCTCTCCTCTGGGCTGGATACCCTGCTGGAACAGCTGGCACTAGCATCAGCCACTGCTCTGCTGACAGTACTTGGCCCGTGGTCCCTGAACTAATGGCCTGGAAAATGATGCAAGAGATACTGACCTGTTGGCACAATCATGGGGGGTGGGCGGGGGGCCATAATAGGAGGGGCCGAGGGAGGCATGGGCACCACGTTGATTCTGGGCGCGTGGATGATGGGCGGCATGGGGGCGATCACTGAGCCTGGGGGCAGCCGGACCACAGATGCCATTGGGGGCCGGGGCATGACGGGTACTGCGGAGACAACTGTAGTACGAACTGGAGGTGGCATCTGTGCAGGAAAGAGACCCACAGATTACAGGAAGCCAAAGTTGGACTCCAAGGTCACACACAGTTGGCAACTGGCTGCCTGCAGCTCTGAGGATGGAGGTTAGACAACTACGTCCTGGCCCCCTGGGACTGAGAAACTGTGGCCTACACTGGGCGTCCAATAGGAACTGAGCTGCTGAGAGCCCGAGGATGACACTCTCTCTACTTGGGACTTGGCGGGTCAAACTCGACCTGCTACTTTGGCAAACACTGAAAGAGTCACTAAAGAGGCTGAGACCTTGGCCAGGCACAGTGGCTCATGCCTGTAATCTCAGCACTTTGGGAAGCTAAGGCAGGCAGATCACCGGAGGTCGGGAGTTCGAGACCAGCCTGACCAACACGGAGAAACCTCATCTCTACTAAAAATACAAAATTAGCTGGGCATGGTGGCGCATCCCTGTAATCCCAGCTACTTGGGAGGCTGAGGCACGAGAATCACTTGAACTCGGGAGGCGGAGGTTGCGGTGAGCCAAGATCATGCCATTGCACTCCAGCCTGGGCGACAAGAGCAAAACTTCATCTCAAAAAAAAAAAAAAAAGAGGCCGAGACCTCGACTAAGTCTCTCCTGGAGACAAGCCAACAGTCCTCAAAGACCCAATAAGCCCTGCAGCCCTTCTCTGACGCCAACTGGTTTCTCATATTTGCCACTTACCTCCCTCCCTGTTCCAACCCTCCTCCACAAACAGATCAAGAGAGAGGTTCCCACTTGCATTTAAAGGGCTCTTTCTCTTTCAAACTGACCCACCCAACACTCAGGCCCCACTAAAAGGCAGCTGCACTTCTCAGCCAACAGTGTCCGACCTCAAGAATGAAGCTCTAAAAAAGTCAGTTCCAGGGTAGATGCTGGCTTACTGTGGGTGGTCGGGGCACTGAAGTGATGGGTGGAGCCGAGCTGGGGATGTTGGTGGCTGAAGATGGTGGCGGTGGCTGTTGAGGGATTTCATTGGGCTTGCTGGGGCCAATCTTCTCTTTAGTGTCATCCTCTGGCACCAGGCCTTTGGCCTTGTGAATGGCCTCAATCTGCTCCTGGAGGGTGATGTTGGCCTGGGCAGCCTGCTGGGTCCGGGCCATGCTGCCTGAGTGGCCATCCCAGGTCACCTGCAAGTGAAAGCAAAGCCACAATGCTTCTGGAACTAAGACCAAGTATGGAAGACGGGGGGCAGAGAAGGCACTAGGTTCCACTTTAGCCGCACCTTTTCCTCTGGCTTCTGGATCTCCTCCTCACCGATCTTCTTACCAATGGCTGTTTCCTCTACACCGAAGATGTCAGTACGCCGCTCAGCCAACTGCTTCAAGCTGCTCTCAATATCCAGACCTGTACAGTCACAAAACAGAGGCAGAGGATAGAAAGAGAAAATAAACCAGGTGTCCTGACAAGAGAGCAGCTTTTCTGGTGTGCAGGGAGGAGGCTGGTTCCATGGGATGAGGGTGACTCAGGGCCCCAACTCTTGTCCTCTGGGCTCGGGGAAAGCTGCCCGATCTAAGCCTATAAACCCAGTGCTTGGGCAACCCCTCTGACTTAGAAAAGAACGGTAGGCCAGGCACAGTGGCTCATGCTTGTAATCCCAGCACTTTGGGGGGCCAAGGCAGGAGGATCACATCTGAGGTCAGGAGTTCGAGACCAGCATGGCCAACATAGCGAAACCCCGTCTCTACTGAAAATACAAAAATTAGCCGGGTGTGGTGGTGCGTGCCTGTAATCCCAGCTACTTGGGAGGCTGAGGCAGAAGAACTGCTTGAACGTGAGAGGCGGAAGTTGCAGTAGCCAACATGGAGCCACTGCACTCCAGCCTGGGAGACAGAGTGAAACTCCGTCATTCATAAATAAAACACATAAATAAATAAGATGGTGAGTTAGAGAGGGCAACTGTGTGGAAAGGGCCACATGGTGTAAGTGGCAGAGTCAAAACTAGAAGCCCAGTCTCCCACCTGTGGCACAGTTCCTGCCCCATTCCAAAGAGCTCATGGTACTCCAGCCATCAATGCTCTCCTTCTAAACAGCCACAGGAAGCCCTTCCAGCTAAAGCCAGAGCTTGCTCTGGGATGTCAACAGGCACATGGCATCTCCTTCAGTGTCTGCCTTTGGGGAATTTCTATGGGGAGTTCTTCTGGAAAGTGGGGAGTTCTCTTGCAATATCATAGAGTGCAACTCTCCTCAAAAGCTTTTGTTGACCTCAATTGTTGCTTTCTATGTTTGCTTAGAAGAAGATGGCTGTAATTCGGAGACTACCATGGGCTCTCCTGGAACCCCCACCTCACCTGGTGCGTACACCTCATCATCGCTCTGCTTCTCACGGATGGAGCGATCCCGCTGCTCCAGCCAGCGAGGGTCAAGAAGTCCAATGCGCATGTGTTCCTGCATTTTGCTGGCGGGGATCTTCTCCCCAGTAATGGGGGACACAAGATACTCATCTGGAGCAGGGGCTGGAGGCAAGGGCTTGGAGGCTAAAAGGAAACAGATGTTTCAGTAAGAACACTGGTGGGCAGCCACCTGAGTTAAGAGGGTGGTATTTCATGCGTGCATCATTCATCAAGGCATCTATTCAGTGCCACTCTTGTACCTGGCACTGTGAAAGGCACTAGGGCACCAGAGATGACTGGGCCCTGTTCCCACCATGAAACCTGTAACAGACGGGCTTGCAATGCTTTTACAATAAGCTGCACCTCAAGCCCTCCTAGAAAGACGGGTGTGAGGAACACATGAGGGCACACAGGACTTCCTGGGCAGCCCGAGGGTTGGGAAGCAGGCCCTCCCTACCTTTGGGATCATAATCCTTGCGGACAATGACTTGGTCTGGAGTTGGGGGCAGAGGTGGAGGCATGGGTGTCTCTGGGGGTGGGGGCACTTTCTGCCCTTCTTCTTCATCATCTGAACCCTGAAAAGCAAAGCAATGGCAGGACTCAGAGAGGGGCTGAGGCCACCTCCCTGTAGCTGAGCCTGGCAGGTCTCTGGGTGGCAAGGAGCCTTGGCCTCTGCCAGCCAGCGTCCATGTGCTAAGCCTCCCAGGGCAGCTGAGGCCAGCCGGCAGCAGGCCAAGCTGCTTCCTCACAGCATGAATGGGAGTGCTGAGGCCACGGTCCTAGCACTCCTCCCAGGCATTTCCAGCAGCTGGCACCAGGCAGTCCCAAGAGGCCAAGGGCACTTAACATGCCGGGGGGGGACAGTGCCAAGGGGGCGAGGGGTGGGGGCGGCGAGTCGCCAATCAATGGTAGCTGCTCACACAGCAATGCTGGGAGGGAGAGAAAAAGTCATTTCCCACAGACAGGGGCCCTTTCTTCTCAGGCTGTGCACAAATTATTTCCGAGTGGGGGAGAACAGTCTGGTTCTGGAGACTCCATGCCTGCTTAGAGGGCCTGGCTTGAAGGGGGTAGGGATGCCTGAAAGGAAGCGTGGGCTACATTTAGAAAAGCTCTGGGAGCTTGGAGCCCAGCTGAGAGCTCAAAACAGAACAGGGTAATGCAGTGAGTTCCCTGAGGGCTGGCACGAGGCAGTGAGAGCAGGCTGTCCGGGCCAGGGAGGCGGCCACAGAACAGGTCAGCACAGCTTTTAGATCCTTGCCTATGAATGAATCTTTGTTGCCGGAGCTGGAAAGAGGCTCTGTGCTGCCTGGACTTGGGCAGCTGTATGGCCTTGTTCAGGACCCACGCCTCCTTTCAAGGCTCACAGGGGAGCTGGATCTGACTGGTGGAGAGCACTTCGACCTCCTGGGGCTTCAGGGGAAAAGGTCATCCTGCAGGCCTGCCCAGCAGCTTACCTCATCCATATCTTGTACTTGGGTGTCCTGGTCCAGCTGGGAAGGAGGCTCCTCCGCCTTCTCCTGTTTGTCATCCTCCTCATCAGACTCGACCTCCATCTCAACTTCCTCACTCTCCCCAAACTTTTCATAGCGCTCCTGAATGAGGATTCGGGCCCCCAGCTCCTCTGGCGTGGTGGGGGGAGGGAAGTTCCCTAGAGGGTGAGCCAGAGGCAAAGGTATTCCTTATCAAAGACCCACCTATTTGCCCTGTCTGAGCTCCCCAAGGGCTGGGGCCATGTCTGTTTTCTCTCCAGCTATCTCCAGAGGCCCATCTAGGGTCTGGCAAGTACGTATTGAATCTAAGTTGGGCAAAGTGGTAGAACTGAAGTCTTTTGGGAGCAGGGAGGAGACAGCACTGATAAAGCCCTCTGAGAGATTCTACTGCTCTCTGGGAACACCTGCACCAGGTTTCCCGGGAAGTCTGAGTTCCTGGCTCCCCATCTGGAGTCACTCCTCACAGACCTACCTTGCTCATTGGGTTGGAAGTCCACTGTTTCCACCACCACAAAATCATGCCAGTCGATCTGAGCATAGGCCACCCGCTCCTTCTCCTTCTCCTCTTCTTCCTTCTTCCTCTCACGTTCCTGGAATTTGGCCCATTCCACTCGGTAACACACCTGCAGAGATGGGAAACAGCTTGGTGCTACGCTGAAGCAGGGTCTGCTCCTGATGAGGCTACCACCTCCAGGGCTTTCATCAAAGTCAGCGCCTCCTTCGGAACAGAATGGAAGTATGGTTCCAAACTATGGCATTTGCACCTGGTTCCACCCAGGTGCAGAGTTGGGACAGAATGAAAATTCCACCCTCTGATCTGCTTGGGAGCTGGCCTTCTGTCTTCTAGCTAGAGTGGAAAAGAGGGAGATATATTGAGGCTGAGAGCAAAGCAGAAAGTTGTGGTATGTTGGGAAGCATCCGGACTCCAGGTTTCTTTGGCCTTTGTAGCCAACAAAGCCTTTTCTCCCACCATTCCCATGACTGGAACATAACAAGGTCCTGCCTCAGAGACTGTTTTCAGACATAAAACAGAACCAACCACCAGTAACTGGTTGCAAGAAATGCTATTCAGTTTACCTGATCCAAAACTTCTCGGGGGTTTTCAGCCTCTTTCTTGAGCTTTGAAAATAAACCTTTGGGTGGAATCAAGATCTGAAATACAGAAGAGTTAAAGCAACTGTCAGTGCTTTACAACGCAGTACAAAGAGGCAGCCTTCCTGGGCCTGTGATAAAGCACAGGAGATGAGGAAGCATGGGATTCTGTGTCCCAATCCCAGCTCCACTTGGCTGTGGGACTTAGGGCAAGTTACTTAACCTCAGTAACTTGATTTCCTTCTCCAAAATAATGGCACCACCACTCAAAGTTGGCACCATGAACTTAAAAAGGTGGCTTCGAGGATTAGCAGGAAAGCATGCAAAGCACTAGCCGATTACCCAGAACACGGTCAGTATGAGACGGCTGCTTTCATGACACTGACCTGCTCTCATCCTTTCAAAAACACTACGCAGGTCCCCCCTGACTATCCTATTCAGAACCGCAGCGTACTTGCCCCACCTCCCTCTATTTCTGCTCCCTGCTTTCTCTCTGTAGTATTTAGCACCATGTAACAGACACTGACAATGCACTTGACTCCTCCTCACTAGACTAGAAACTCCATGAAGACAGGGATTTCTCTTTTGTTCACGATTACATCTCCAGCCCCCTGAATAATGTCTGACAATGTATACTTACTGAGAGAACAAATGCTGCCTTTGTTCTAAACAGCCCCAACAGCTTCTACTGCCACTGGCAAAGTGGCTCGGCCCTATCCCAATCCTCCTTCCACCTCTACCCCAAGAATCTATCTGCTCAGTCTTCCATGGCTAGAACAGACAGCAGGAACCTCAAGTTACAGTGGTAAATGCCAATACCCAAGTTCTGAAGAAAAAACAGGAAAGTAACAGAATAAAAAGTGATCTGGGACCTTTAACCCTGGAAGCAGTCCACTGGGAGAAATTAATCCAGGGTTCATTTAAAATTGATATTGCATATTTATAGAAACCCTTGGGCCTTGGGCCTTGAATGACTGTTATTTTAGCTACCATACTAGCTTCTGGATTTGGTCATTTTCTAAACACACACATTGTTAAAATTCTAATTATGTACTTAAAAGTGAGTAGAGTTAGGAAATTCTCAAGTCCTTTCAAGTCAGATCTTTGAGGTGTTGTTTCTGGATATGAAGAAGAGATGTACAGACCATCCCACTGTAAAGGGAAGGAAAACAACCTCCATGACATGTGTAGCAAGAAAAATGTGCCACAGGCAAAGCTGTCAGTGCACTTTGCAATAAATTAATAATCTGATTATTTTAAATGCCAGAACTGACTTGTCCTGATTCTTGATTGCAGCTCTGTCAAATGATAATTGAGTTCTTAGGGTCTGGAGTAAAAATGCCAGAGCTCAAGCCCCAGCCCTGCCACCTCCTAGCTATGTGACCCTGGCCATGCTAACTTCACTGCACCTCAATTTTCTCTTCTGTAAAGTGAACATAGCAATAGTGGCTACCTTATAGGCTACCGGAGATTAAATGAGAAGATGCTGCATACATAATTTCTTAGTGATGTTAGTTATACTGACTTACATGACATCAAAGTGTCTCTCAACACCTATTTAAATGCTGTTTCCAATTTAAGGCACTTTATAAGCTGAAGAACCAAAGTTTTAGGGTCAAATGTGGTTTAAATCTCAGCATAGTACTTACTAGCTGACAGACCTTGAGTACGTGACTTCACCTTTCTGAGCCTGTTTCTGCTTCTCAAACATGGGGGGAAAACACCTCATGGCTTCTTGTGAGGACTAAGTTAGGTAAAAGGAGGCAACTCTTAAAGGTTGGCTTCTTCTCAGGGCCTTACTAGGCAACTGAAAACGGAAATGCACTTAAAAGCAGCAAGCACCACGTGGCCTTGTCACATAGCAGGCAATCGCCTAATGGTAGTTAGCAAGCATGTATTTCCCTTCTCTTTAGAAACCGGCAGTCTGTGTTGCACTTAAAGAAATAACTGAATAGAAATCAAGGTTTTACATTAAACTGGGATTCAAAACATTTGCTCAGAGGCCCCATGGAGAAGCGATGTCCTTGTAGACAGTGAGTGGACACAGTGCTTCCAAGCATAAGATGTTTTCCTTTCCTGGGCCCAGGACCCCAGCCCCATCCTGCCCAGGCACCTTGGTGTACTGTTCCACTAGCTTCGTGAAGTAGTTGAAGAGGCTGTGCTGTGGGCGGAGAAAGTCAAACTGGTAGTTGCGCTGCTCTTTCTGCATCAGCTGGGTCAGAAACTGGCGCCCATTCCTGGCCACAAACTGAGCCGTCAGCTTCACCACATCCAAGTCGAAGGCTGAGATAGAGGGAGGATCAGCAATGAACTCAAACTCAGGAGGAGGCTCTTTGGGCACGATGGTCTCTTGGATTACTTGGGCTTGGACCTAAGATGCAAAGGGAGTATGAGGCGAGAGGCACAGGGGTGAACAGGCTCCAGGGGAGGGGAGGGGAGGGGACATGGGCATGCACCCCTCAGCAGGATGCTGTGAACCTCTAGACTTCTGTTAATTATGCACACACCACTAGCACTTGGTGTGAGAGAATTCTAAATCACAAGAGCATTGACTTCCCAGCCAACTATGGCCTCAACTTCCTGAATGGCTGAGTGAGAACCATTCCCCTCTGTATCTCTGCTCCTGCCTTGAAATTGAGGGCCAAAACTGGGTGACAGAAGATCCAACAAGAATAGGACTTATTAAATCCCATCCAAGAGGGATGGATGTGCAGAAGGCCTACATGTGTGCAGAAAACCCCACTGTACAAAGTGTTTCCATGACCTCCGCATGAACGATGAGGTAGCACAGGTACTGTGAATCCTCTTTACAGATGAAGAAACTGAGGTAGCCTGAGGTCCTAGGCCTCATTGCAACGCAAGGTCTTAGAACCTGACTTCAACCTTTATAGCCCACTGCAAAAGGAGGGACTGCCTTTTCCACCATGGTTCAGGAGTGCAGAAGGCAGGTCTGGACAGGAGGAAAAACATGTCAGCCTCTCTCTTCATTCATAATCCTAATAGTCCCTAGTGCTGGGCCTCAGCACAGGGAAGGTGGTATCAGGGGAGGCCAGGATGGAGGGGTCCTGGGAAGAAGAGATAGAAGGGAAGGGATGGCACAAGGAGGAGCCCACAGGCCACACTGCATCCTTCAGCACAGCCAAGTAGGAAGTGCTGCCCTCACATCACGGCACTGCCCTCACACCCTGAGCAAGGCCTTGAATAAATCACACGTCCCCCAACTCTCAGGTTCCTCATACAGCCTCTGTGAGGAGTCAATGAGACAAGACTCCTGAAGTACCAAGCACAGAGCTTGACAAGCAGTGCTCGGGAAATGCCAACTAACATCAGTACTTTGCTGTCTGGGCCTCGGTCTGCCTCTGAGAGATGGGGATAACGACCTCACTTCTCTCCCTGGGTGGTTGTGAGATTTGGAGTTAATTGTGTACTCCCTCCCTATCCCTGTTTCCCTCTCAAGCCCTGCGTAAGTGAAGGGGGCACTGGGCTCCAAACCTTCTGGGGCAGCTGCTGCTGGGTGGTCTGCTGCTGCTGCTGCATGACCTTGGGGATGGCGGCGGACGGCTCCTGAGCCTTCCCTTCCTTGAACTCGCTGACCTTGTGGCGGTAGTAGGCATGGTAAGGGTCATTGGGGTTCAGAAAGTTGAACTTGGGGTTGTTGATCTCGTTCTGTCGGATCCTAGCTTCAAATTCAGGCCCGTTTCTGGAGGAAGAAAAAACAACAAGAATAAACACCACTCCCTTGTGCCTGCTGTGATCTAGAACACTGCCCATTGGAACGTCCTTCTTGCCACCACCCACTGCTCAAACCAGCCCATCCCTCAGCAGACGTCCTCCTCTAGCTTCCTGGCATTGGCGATCAGTGCCATCTGCCTCATTCAGCTTGAACCAGGCCACCTCTGCCACAGGGTTTCCCTGAACCCAGTCATTCCTTAGCTCCTTTTCCAGTTCTGCCATTTCCAAAACCATCTAGGCTATCGCTCATTTCTTTTAATAAAATTTACTTTAAAAAAAATCTATTTAAGATGGAGAATACATATTACTACTTCAAATAAAAAAAAATCAGTATGCCTTTACCAACAAAAGGTAGTCAAAAGTGAACATAATGAAAACAAAGTAATACTGTCAAAGTTTAGCTGGAAGTTTGCTGAGACTAATTCTCTTAGTTCAAAGGGGTAGCAAGTGCTGGAGAGGTGTAAAAGGTACATGAGCACCAAACCTAGACTTTGTCCTCTGAGTAACAAGAAAGACTGAAAGACATGAAAATTTAGTTGATTTGAGCCTGGGCAACAAGAAAAGACCCTAACTCTACAAAAAAATATAAAAATAAATTAACTGGGCATGGTGGTGTGTGCCTCTAGTCCCAGCTACTCAGGAGGCTGAGGTGGGAGGATCACTTGTGCCCAGGAGTCTGAGGCTGCAGTGGGCTAGAATCGTGTCACCGTATTCCAGCCTGGAAAACAGAGCAAGACCCTGTCTTTAAGAAACAAACAAACAAACAAAAAACAAATAGTTGGTTTAACGCCTTGTCCAAGTACTCCCTAAAACCACCCCCATTATACTGGTGAGGCCCACACAGGAAACATCCTCAGCAAAAACCCAGACTCGTACAGCTGTATAAGGCACCTTCAGATGACAGGGGTGTGGTAAGATCAGCAGGGAGGTCTCCAACCACTGTCTGTACCTGGGATGGTTCCCCAGATATGCCCCATGTCCCCAGCAAGCCTTCAAAACCTCAGGATAATGAAAAAATGTCCCTATAATGATGTTTAGGGAACCCTGATTTTTAAAATGTCCCAACAGTAATATTCAAAGTGCCACACTTATATACAACACCTGTGTCAGTCAGAAAGTACACGGACCTTAAAGACACAAGATATGAACACGTTCAAGTCTCAGGTTCACTGCTGACTCACTCTGACCCACAGCAAGTTACCAAACTACTCTTTGCTTCCATTTCCCCATGTGTAAAATGCAGCTAACACCAGTTTCCCTTTCTACCTTGAAACATTATTGAGGAGATGCCAAAGTGTTTTTGTTTTATAGACAGGGTCTCACTCTGTCACCCAGGCTGGAGTGCAGTGGTACAATCTCAGCTCACTGCAACCTCCACCTCCTGGGCTCAAGGGATCCTCCCACCTCAGCCTCCTGAGTAGCTGGGACTACAGGCATATACCACCATGCTCGGCTAATTTTTTTTTTACATTTTGTAGAGACGGGGTTTCACCATGTTGCTCAGGCTGGTCTCAAACTCCTGCGCTTAAGCGCCTTGGCCTCCCAAAGTGATAGGATTATAGGCGTGAGCCACTGAACCCAGCCCTCAAAGTCTTTTCAAATCGTACAGTGGCCTGCAAATGCAAGGGGCTAGGAGGGGTTGTTCCATAAACATTGTCTGTGGGGCCTTCCATTGCTCCTCTGGCGAGAACCTTGTACTTAGAACTGCCCCAAACACACCAAGGCATGGCCCCGGCATCTGGTGCCAGCTAGCCAGCTCCACTCTTCAGACTTTCATATCCCTGGCCTGTGAGTTTAAGAGGGGGTGGGAGCCCGGCACAGTGGCGCACACTTGTAGTCCCAGCTACTCAGGAGGCTGAGGCGAGAGGATCACTTGAGCCCAGAAGATCATACCCAAGCCTGGGCAACAAAATGAAATTTCACCTCTGAAAACAAAAATTTTTTAAATTTTTTTTAAGACAGATGGCAGGAGACAGGGTACAGGCAGTGCTGTGCCCCAGATCAACCACCACAGCAATTATGTGCCACACTAGTGATCGACACCCAGGCTGGCTCCTCAGCAAGTCGTGGTCATACCCTGCCGTGTAACTAACACCATGAGGTCTCAATTTGACAGTATATTAGTCTAACTGGAACCTCATGCTTTGGAAAAAAAATTCTCCCTACTCCTTAAATAATGCAAACCACACATAAGAATGAAGGTGAATGCACACTTAAATCCTGCTAAACTAGGCCACTATACCCAGCAAATGCCTCGGGCAGACAAAGGGCTCCTGGAAAAAGGGGCCCTGGTTGTCTCCTGTACCACTGCCTAAGCCATAACTTTACCCCATCTGGGAACAATCTGAAAAATAAAACAATGAGAAGGCTTGGCATGTTCATTCCAAGCTATTCAGTTGCTTTAAATTAGCTTAACGTTAATTTTAGAATCATACTCTCCACCAGAAGGAATAGATTTCAACAGAAAAAGACATGATTCTGACTCAACCCAGCTGGTGGGACTTTTTAAGGGTAATTTCCACTTCAGTTTCTTGACAGGAACATGCAGGAAATGAAAAGGCCTAACCTAGCGAAAAAACTTTTGGAAAACCGCTCAGTTGTGCATTTCTACTGCATGCTCCATAAATATACGTGAACCCAGGAGAAGTGAAGCACAGAGTTCTGCATGCCTGCTTTAACTCGGATATTGGTCTCTTTGTTGCAATGTAAACGATAAGTTCACAGATTTTATTTATTTATTTACTTTTGAGGCGGAGTCTCGCTCCGTCACCCAGGTGGGAGTGCAGTGGCACAATCTTGGCTCACTGCAACCTCTGCCTCCCGGGTTCAAACGATTCTTCTGCCTCAGCCTCCCAAGTAGCTGGGACTACAGGCGCCCGCCACCACACCTGGCTAATTTTTTGTATTTTTAGTAGAGACGAGGTTTCACTATGCTGGCCAGGCTGGTCTTGAACTCCTGACCTCAGGTGATCTGCCCACCTCAGTTTCCCAAAGTGCTGGGATTACAGGTGTAAGCCACCACACTGGCTCACAGATTTTAGAAATGCCTACAAAAGCAATCACCATAGCTAAAAATCAATCTAGGGATGTGCATGGTTTTGGATTTTTTTCTTTCTTTTTTTTTTTTTTTTTGAGATAGGGTCTTGCTCTATCGCCCCAGGCTGGAGTACGCTGGCATGATCATACCCTTGACCTCTCAGGCTCAAGTGATCCTCCCAAGTGGCTAGAAATACAGATATGCGCCACCATGCCCAGCTAATTTTTTTATTTTTTGTAGAGACAGGGGTCTCACTATATTGCCTACACTGGTGTCCAAGTCCTGGGTTCAAGCGATCCTCCCACCCTGGCCTCCCAAAGTGCTGGGATTACAGGCGTGAGCCACCTAACCTGGTCATATATATTTAAAGGGACCTTGGATATCCTCTTATTTCTTTAGCAGCAGAGGATGGCACAAAATTATTGGAAAGCTACTTGGCAAAATGTTTAAGAAATCTTTTAAGGATGCTCTTTTAGCCAATAATGAGCCACACAGAATTTTCTTCTAAGGAAACGATCTAAAAGGGAAAGAAAATGCTCAGAGATTTCCCCACAGCTTAATTTGCCAAAATGAAATGTTGGGAACAGGCCAGGTGCGGTGGTCACTGCCTGTAATCCCAGCCACCTTGTGGTGGCTGAGACATGAGGATCACTTGAGGCCAGGAGTTCAAGACCAACCTGAGCAACACAGAAAGACCCCATCTATACAAAAAAACTAAAAAAAATAAAAAAAATAAAAAAAAAATTAGCTGGGTGTGGTGGCAGGCACCTGTAGTCCTAGCTACTCAGGAAGCTGAGGTGGGAGGATAACTTGAGCCCAGGAGTTCAAGGCTGCAGTGAGCTGTTATCATGCCACTGCACTCCTGCCTGCGTGTCAGAACGAGACTCTGTCTCTAAAAAAGAAATGTTGGAAACCTCCTCCTCTAAGGAAAATACAGAAATGGTGGCCAAGTCAAGGAAAGCCTTTCACCTCTACATGGTGCATCCCCTTAATAAAGGACCACAGGGCATTATGAAGACCATGGAGCAAAATGGAAAAATGCTTACAACACAGAGTGGAATATCTTTACTAGTATTACAAGGATCTAAAAAAAGGATTCCAAGGACAGAAGGAAACAGAAAAATGTGAAAACAGCTGGTAGACACTACTCTGGTAATGAGAATATGGTGATTCTTCACCCAACTCCCCTTTTCTGTATATTCTGTTTTTAAAGTATCAGGGGAAAAGGGGAGGCATGAACACTGCTAAGAGCCATTAAACATTTATCTTAAACACAACACTGTCTAAATCTGACATGACCCAATCAACATCATCACAATGTTCAATCAAGCACAGAGAAGCTTTCAACCTAATACTCAAAGGTAATCAAAGCCCTTGAAATGTAATGAGATGAATCTGCAGAGCTGACATAGTGAAAGTCTAACCAAAGTAGGCTGGTGCCGTGGCTCACGCCTGTAATCCCAGCACTTTGGGAGGCCCAGGTCGGGGGATCATTAAGTCAAGAGACTGAGACCAGCCTGGCCAACACGGTGAAACCACGTCTCTACTAAAAATACAAAAATTACCTGGGCGTGGTGGCGCACGCCTGTTGTCCCAGCTACTCGGGAGGCTGAGGCAGGAGAATCACTTGAACCCAGGAGGCAGAGGTTGCAGTGAGTTGAGACTGCACCACTGCACTCCAGCCTGGCAACAGAGTGAGACTCCATGTCATTTAAAAAAAAAAAAAAGAAAGTCTAACCAAAGTAATCTTTATGTCTAATTTTATTAGGTTGGGAAAGGAAGGACCATCCGTTAAATGATGCATACTGACTGAGACACTGCCTCAGGGGGGTGACGTGGTCCCTGGAGAACACATGCTGATTGGGCCTGCTTCCACACATGAAGGAACTGTCCAGAAATCCAGACTGATTGTGAAATCTCATTTTTACTTGTTTTGTTTTTTTTGAGACAGGGTCTCACTGTCACCCAGGCTAGAGTCCATGGCTCACTATAGCTTCAACCTTCTGGGCCCAACCGATCCTCTTGCCTCAGCCTCCTAAGTAGCTGGGATCACAGGCCCATGCCACCACAGCCAGATAACTTTTTATTTTTTGTAGACAGGGTCTCACTATGTTGCCCAGGCTAGTCTCAAATTCCTGAGTTCAAGTGATCTTCCCACCTTGGGCTCCCAAAGTGCTAGGATTACAAGCAAGAGCCACAGCACCTGACCTCCTCATTTTTAAATAGTAGCAACAAATTTGAGTTTCGAAAAAATTACTGTGAGGACAAACAAAACATCTGTAGGCTGGACATGGACTGAGGGCTGCCAAAGGAATACCTTAAATACCCTAGAGAATGTACTGACCTTTGGAGTCAAGGGGCCAGTAAAAAAATTCCATCTAAGGATGTGAGGGTAAGTACAGTGGGGAGAGACAGGGGGAACTCGGAGCAATTCCCATTCCATCTGAGGTGGCGGCTAGCACCTGCGTGGAACTGTGGGGAGAGACAGGAGGAACCCGGAGCAATTCCCATTCCATCTGAGGTGGCGGCTAGCACCTGCATGGAACTGTAGGAAGAGAGAGGATCTCTGACCAATGCCCATTCCATCTGAGAAGCCAGCTAGCACCTGCACAGGACTGTGGGGAGAGACAGGAGGAACTCAGAGCAATACCCATTCCATCTGAGGAGACGGCTAGCACCTGCATGGAACTGTGGGGAGAGAGAGGATCTCTGACCAATGCCCATTCCATCTGAGAAGCCAGCTAGCACCTGCACAGAACTGTGGGGAGAGACAGGAGGAACTCGGAACAATGCCCATTCTATCTGAGGTGGCGGCTAGCACCTGCATGGAACTGTGAGGAGAGACAGGAGGAACTCGGAGCAATGCCCATGCCATCTGAGGAGGTGACTAGCACCCGCGTGGAACTGAACTGCATGCAGCCCCATGACCTCACTCCCGCCTCACAACAACTCTGAGATGGCATTTTTTCCATTTTGCAGATGGGTCATTTGAGGCTCTTGGAATGTGGTCTTTGTACAATGAGAATAATAAACTCCCCTTTTTATCTTCCTCAGGCCAGCAGCTCAGGCACAGACACACACCATCTGTGATGAAGCAGCTTTCCAGGCATTTCCTCAGGCCAGTTTTAGAAGCAGAGGCTCCTGGTGACTGTGGGGCTAAGTGTGATTCTCACTTTGGCCACTGCTATGCTGTGTCAGGGACACCAGTCCTACCTATTGCCTACCCCAGTGCCATGTTGTGGTTTTTTATGAACTAAAAGGCCCAAGCCAACAACGTCTCTTTAAAAACCCTTGTGCTGATTCAGTGCTGAAGTCTCTTCATGCTGAAACCCACCTCTGACCCACCCAAGTAGCTCTGTTACCTGGCCACAAAGCTGGCAGTCTTGTCAACAATATTTCTGACCTCTGGAGGAGGGTAAATAATCCCCACAACTGGCTTAGAAGGTGCAGAATCCTCCTTTGAAGATGCTTCTTCTTCTGTGGGCTGTGCAAACAGGAAAAGAAATAAGGTTTTAAAGTCCCTGGTTCAGAGCAGGTTCTCCACTGTAAAACTCCTCTAGGATATCATTCAGAGTAGACTTTCATTCACAGACTTCCCTCAGGTTAGAACCCTCTACTTCAGAAAAGCAGTTCTCTTAAGTTCACTGCACCTGCAGGGGCTGCTCCTGGGGACCCAGGGAGAAGAGCAGCTTCCCTGGCTCCTCTCTCACTGGACTATCTCAGTGAGACCAGGAATCTGCATTTTTACTATGGTATGAGACCAGCACTTCTCCTGTTGTCCTTCCCAGTTTCTCCCCAACCTCCCCTTTTCCCTAGTTTATAAGACAGGAGAAAAGGGAGAAAGCAAAAAGTTGGAAAGAAACAGAAGTAAGATAAATAGCTAGACGACCTTGGTGCCACCACCTGGCCCTGGTGGTTAAAATAATAATAATATTAACCCCTGACCAAAACTACTGGTGTTATCTGTAAATTCCAGACATTGTATGAGAAAGCACTGTAAAACTTTTTGTTCTGTTAGCTGATGTATGTAGCCCCCAGTCACGTTCCTCACGCTTACTTGATCTATTATGACTCTTTCACATAGACCTTTAGAGTTGTAAGCCCTTTAAAGGGCTAGGAATTTCTTTTTCGGGGAGCTCGGCTCTTAAGACACGAGTCTGCCGACGCTCCCGGATGAATAAAAAACCTCTTCCTTCTTTAATCCGGTGTCTGAGGAGTTTTGTCTGCGACTCGTCCTGCTACATTACCAAATGCCCAGGTGATTCAGATGCAGGGACTCCGACTACATTCTGAGAAACCATGTTCCAGAATCCAGGCCATGTCTGTAACCCTGCACCCAGCGATGGGCTTGGCATGGAATTTTTAATGATTGTTTGCTGAATAAAGAAATGGGAAACTATCTGCTGACAAATTCTTCTGCCCTGAATGCCCTCTCTGCCTCTACTCCACTGTCTTAACCAACATTCAATGCTCAAGTGTTTTGTGAAATTCCACTGGAAGGCTCAGCACTAACGATCCCATAAGTACCAATATTTTTTCACCAGCAGCTTCTTCCCCTTAGTAAACAAAGGGTCAAGTCTCTTATCTTAGAGAAACGAAGTTTCTCCTCTGCCTTCATGTTCTTTTCTGCCGCTGCCTTCTCCCACACCTTCCTCTGGCAGCTAAACATCCTGAGTTCTCTTCAGTCTTGCTGGTCCCACTTCCCTGCCTCCCATCTGGTCCCCATTCATTTTAAGTGCTCTTGACAAAGTCAAAAACAACTGCCCACAGCCATTATCTGGGCGTGAATGGTGACCACTCCTTCACAAAACTCTCAACTCCTAGGCCCCATTCTTGCCTGTCTTCCCATCTTGCTCACCATTCCATTCAAGTTTCCTTCCTGACCCGTTTCACCTCCTGCACTGTGAAGCTGGAGATCCCCACTCCCACCGCCCAATTCTGTTCTTGGTTCTCTTCTCAGTTTTTGGTGTCCTCCACTTCCCCTTCCGCCTCTAGACTAAACAATCTGGCCCAAACTGATGTCCCAGAACACTCTTGTGTACTAAACAGCTTCAGGTGCAGCTAACTACTGGGCACTTTCATCTCTAACCTCTTTCCTCAGGAATAGCTACCCAGTCACCCATGCCAGAAAGTTGGGGGCTCCTCTCTCTTCCTCAGCTTCCACACTCGATGATAATAACGTTTATCAAGTTGGGCACAATGGCTTGCACCTATAATCCCGGTGACTCAGGAGGCTGAGGTAGGAAGATTGCTTGAGCCCAAGAATTCAAGGCTGCAGTAAGCTATGACTGCACCACTGCATTCCAGCCTGGGTGACAGAACGACACCCGGTCTCTTAAAAAAAACTTTTATCAAGCTATGAGTAGATCCCAGGTATTTTTCCCAAGCACTTTAAATATATTAACTCTTATAACCTTTAGAAGAAGCCTATAAGATTAAGTACTCTTTTTTTTTTTGAGACAGTCTCTTGCTGTCGCCCAGGCTGGAGTGCAGCGGCATGATCTTGGCTCATTGCAACTTCTGCTTCCCAGGTTCAAGCAATTCTCTCCCGAATAGTGGGGATTACAAACATGCACCACCACACCTGGCTAATTTTTTATTTTTAGTAGAGACAGTTTTGCTATGTTGGCCAGGCTGGTCTCAAACTCCTGACCTCAAGTGATCTGTCTGCCTCGGCCTCCCAAACTGCTGGAATTACAGGCGTGAGCCACTGGACCCGGCCAAGAACTCTTAATATCTCCACATTACAGATGACAAAACTGAGAGATGGAGAGCTTAATGTCCAACTGGCAGAACCAGGATTCTAACACACCACTCTGGCTGAAGAGCCTGCCTACCCCCTCTGCCCTAATCTCGGCCAGGCCTTCAGCCTCTTTGGAATAGCGTGACTGGCCTCCCCTCATAGTGATTCTCCACACGTCTGCCTACCTGAATTTCTGAAACACAAATGTCACTATTTGGCTTAAAACACTCCCTTTTCTTCCCACTGTCTACAAGGAAAAGTTCAAATCCTAAGTAAGAATCGCATCTCCTGCCACTACGCTCCTAAGTCTATGCTTCAACACTTGTTCATTTACTCTTGATCAGAGACACCGTTTGATTCACCTCGGTGTCTTTGCGCATATTATCTGGCTATTACCTTATTTTCCCCCAATGCCTGGGAAAATGCCAGGGACACACGGGCACTTAAATATTTGTGGAAAAGGCATGGCTTCTTCAGTCATGTTCCCCCCCCCCGCCCCCCTTATTCTGAACCCAAAGCAATGATCAGCGTATGTGTTCAATAAATATTTGCTGGATGAATAAAGGATGCTATTTCCCTTCCCTAGTCACCTACCTGGCAAACTCCTATTCCTTCTTCTAAAAGAAATTTACCTCTCACTCTTGTGGGCTTCCCTACCTTAATATCCCTTCTAGCCCAGCAAACAATGTTCATTAGATTTGTACCTGAAACTTCTATCACAGGGCATATCACACCATACTACAATGGTTTGTGCACATTCGAGATTGGAGAGCTTTATTAAGGGCGGGCTGGCACTGTATCATCGATGGCCATTGGGACAACAAACATTTGGTGAGCATTCTCATATGTCTGTCTTCTCGTTAGCCTGTGAGCTCCCTAGGCAGGGACCATGCCCCATTCATTCCGGTAATGTGGGAGCCTGGCACGGTGTCTGGCTTGGGGCAGACACCGAAATAGATGCTGAGAATTAACATCCAAAGATGTACCGTGCAGGCTGGGAAATTAGCCATTACTGGGGAAAGGCTGTGGCCGGCGGCCCCAACTGCTACATAAGATCAGAGGATGGGCTGGATCAGCGCCTCTCGCACTTATAAATCAATCACCTTAGGATTTTGTTCAAATGTAGATTCCTATTTAAAAGATCTACGGCGGAGACTCCACATTTCTAAGAAGCTCCCGGCTCGTGCCGACGGGGCTGCTCCGCGGACCACTTAGAGAATCCCGTTCAGGGTGGCTCATTTCGCTACCAGAACACCACCATAGCGCGGGAAGCGCGCAGCCTCTTGGGACTTGCAGTCCCTCCAAGCCCTTCATAGCGGCCGGCCGCTTATTCCTGTGCGAGTAAGGAGCGCCCAGGCCAACCCTCCGGCTGCAGGCTGAGGGGCGGGGGAGAGGTACCTGTTTGGGCTCCGTGGGCACGGGCGGCGGCGGGGGCACCGCCTGCACGGGTCCGGCCGGCATGACTGCGACGCTCAGGGCTGCCAGTCCGCCTCGGTGTCGGTGAGCGGTGCCGCCTCAAGACAGCCTCCCCGCTCGGTCAGTACGACGAGCTCGCAAGATGGCGGCGGCCGAGCGAGTTGCGGCCGCGAAGGTACGACTGGCGCACTTCCGGGACCGTCCCCTCGCCGTGACGCGCTTCCCGCCCCTCCCCGCGGGCACCGCGGCGTCCGACGCCGTTGCCAAGGCAGCGGCCTGAGCGCCCGGCTAGGGCTTTTCGGGGATCCCGGTGGCCGCAGGCGCACCGGGGGCAGTTCCGGGAGCCGACCAGACACGAAGGCTGAAGCCGCGACGCCGAAGACAGGTGAGATGTTGTACGTCACCCGCCGGACCCCCGCCGCACTCACCTCGCGGCTCCTTTACTCCACAGGCCAGTACCTCGCTCCCTTCGACCCCGCCTTCCAAGAGCCCAGCTCCCTCCCATTGGTCTCTCATTTAGGAGAGCCCCTGTCCCCTCAGGCTCACCGCCTAAGAGCCCCACTTCCCTACTCCCTTAGTCCCCCCTTTCATTTCAGACCCACATCCTCCAAGCCCCGCTTCCAAATCCTACGCCCTTAATTCGCTTTTCCCACGGAACCTGCCTTTTCTTGCTTCCATCCCCTGCCTTCCGTAGTCCCGCCCTCAAGCCCCACTGGGGGCCTCCCTCTCAAATCAAGGCTGCTGCTTTCTTTGTCTTTCTTTTTTCTTTTTTTCTGAGACAAGGTCTTGCTCTGTCACCCAGGCTGGAGTGCAGTGGCGCGATCTTGACTCTCTGCAACCTCCGCCTCCCGAGTTCAAGCGATTCTCCTGCCTCAGCCTCCCGAGTGGCTGGGACTACAGGCGCCCACCACACCCGGCTAATTTTTTTTTTTTTTTTTTTGGCATTTTTAGTAGAGACGGGGTTTCACCATGCTGGCCAGGCTGGTCTGGAACTCCTGACCTCAAATGATCCGCCCGCCTCGGCTTCCCAAAGTGTTAGGGTTACAGGCGTGAGCCACCGCGCCCGGCCAGTTTTTAAATTTTTTTTTTTGTAGGGACATGGGAGGACGTCTCCCTATGTTGCCCAGGCTGGTCTCAAACTCCTGGGGTCAAGCGATCCTCCCGCCTTGGCCTCCCAAAGTGCTGGGATTACACGCATGAGCCATCACGCAGGGCTGCTGCTTTAGGCTTCACCCCTCACTCTCACAGATGCAGCCCTGCAAGCTATGCGGCTCGCTCCCCAGAGGCCTACCTCGAATCCCGCCGGCTTCTCTCCCTCTCCTGCGATTCCCCCCTCTCTCCTTCCTCCTCTCCTCAACTCTGGAAAGCGGGGAGCTGGCTCCGAACCTGTTCCTGGACTTCAGTTTCCTCACCTGTGAAATGAGGGAGTGATAGGAAAGGTTGCTCTCTCAAGTCTTCCCCCTCCCCCCACACACATCGTAGCTGTGTGTCATGGTTGTTATTAATGTAGAATAATGATAGCTGGGATGTATTGGTCATTTACTATGAGCCGGATACTGTGCCCAACACTTCATGTGTTACGTCATTTATTCCTTATAGCAACCTATTTACAAATGAGGACAGTGAAGTTTGGAGTTGGTAGAGTGGGAATGCAAGTTCAAGCCAGTCTTATTCCTCTACTAGTGCAGTTAGTTATTTTGCCCTCAGTCCCTTCAGTATCCCCAGGGATCCAGGCAATTAACAATCTCATGTTTGAGACTGACATCTGCCACATAGCTGGTTTTAGAGTTTCCCGTGTTTTCATGGTGGTGGCTTTGAATCTCACCAGGCACCCTGGCTGGGAAGTAGGCATCATCTTTACCGAGTAGGGTTAGGGTACTAGTTCTGAGAGAGAGAAGGCGCTTGAATGTTGAACGGAAATGCAGGAAAGGCTCCTGCTCTTCTCTGGGAGTCAAAAGTCCACCTTGAGCCCCAGGAAATTGAGGAGAGGCAGAGATAGCTGCTGCTCCTCCCTAAGGGCTCAATTAGTGCTGTCACCTATGTGGTCATGGGTACAGTGCCGGGCTGGCAGCTTCAGACTGAGGGTTCCACTCAAGACCCAGGAATTGCAGAAAGAGCTCACGTCAAGTGCTTCTTCACTTGACACACACATAAAGTACTTCTTAAACTATGCTTGTATCTGCATGACTTCAATTTTCAGAAGAAACAACATAAGGTCATCTTGGATTTTCCTGACACTTGGGCATTTGCTGCTGCTTATCTGATCCAGGATCTACTGGGAGTTGATATCCAGGATGGCCCCATGTGGCAGCTATAGTTATTTGAAGGTGAACAGATCAGTGTTTCCTGGTGCCTTCACAAGCAAGCTTATGAATTCCAGATGCTTTGCCACCTGAATACACTTTCTCCCAGGTTGGGGGCTTCTTGATTTCTTTATTTCTTTCATGCCCATTCCAGGAAGGAAACCCAGAATACTTCCGTGTGTTATTTTGCCTTTGTTTCTGCCTCCCTCCTTGGAGACATAAAATCTCTTGGGCAGCAGTAGTTCATTGGCAGTTGCCAAGACAACAGGAGTGTAGGATGTGGGCATGTGTGTTGTGAGTATCATGGGGCAGACACGTATCCCTTGGGTGATATCCCATGGGTGAAACTGGCACACACAAGCTTACCCCTTGCGGAGACCCTCAGATATCACTGGTAGTTCCTGGAGGACAGGGCTCCTTGTGCCCTGCTGTGTTCCTGGTCTTGACGTAGTGCCTGGTATGGAACAGATACTCAGTCCTCATTTGCTGAATGCACACACAGCATCCAACCCTCTGCACCGTCCAATACAGTAGCTACCAGCCAACACAGATTTTGAACATTTGAAATGGTTTCTGGTCCAAATGGCCATGTGTTGTCAAACAGGCATTAGATTTTGAGACTTAATACCATAAAAATGTTAAAAATCTCCTTAATAATTTTATATTGATATGTTGAAATGATAATGTTTTGGGTATATTGGGTTAAATAAAATATGCTGTTAAAATTAAAGTTAATTGACCTTTATTTTTACTCTTTTTAATGTGTAGGGGAGAAAAAGTAATATATTTTCCTCACTCATTGCAAGTTTAATAAAAGATTAAGGTGTCTCACGCCTATAATCCCAGCACTTTGAGAGGACAAGACGAAAAGATTGCTTGAGGCCAAGAGGCCAGGACCAGCCTGGGCAACATAGCAAGTCTCTGTCTTTACAAAAAACAAAAAAATTAGCCAGGTGCGGTGGCACCCACCTGTAGTCCTACCTACTCAGGAGGCTGAGGGGGAGGATCACTTGAGCCCAGGAGTTAAAGGTTACAATGAGCTATGACAGCACCACTGCACTGCAGCCTGAGCAACAGAGTGAGACCCTGTCTCTAAAAAATAAATAAATGAAATAAAATTTTAAAAACAGATTAACAAGAGAAAAGCATACAAATTTAATAAAAGTTTACCTGCCGGGCGCGGTGGCTCACGCCTGTAATCCCAGCACTTTGGGAGGCTGAGGCGGGCAGATCACAAGGTCAGGAGATTGAGACCATCCTGGCTAACATGGTGAAACCCCATCTCTACTAAAAAATACAAAAAAATTAGCTGGGTGTTGTGGCGGGCGCCTGTAGTCCCAGCTACTCTGGAGGCTGAGGCAGGAGAATGGCGTGAACCCAGGAGGCAGAGCTTGCAGTGAGCCGAGATCACGCCACTGCCCTCCAGCCTGAGCGACAGAGCGAGACTCCGTCTCAAAAAAAAAAAAAAGTTTTCCCTGACATGGAAACCTTCAGAAATGAAAACCCAAAGAAACAAGGAGATCTGTGTTTTTATGGTCAGTGTGCAGAATTATGATTGGTGGACCCAAAGGTATGATCTGGCGGGGCGCGATAGTTCATGCCTGTAATCCCAGCACTTTGGAAGACCAAGGAGGGTGGATCACCTGAGCTCAGGAGTTGGAGACCAGCCTGACCAATATGGTGAAACCCTGCCTCTACTACTAAATACAAAAATTGGCCGGGCATGGTGGCTCATACCTATAATCCCAGCACTTTGGGAGGCTGAGGTAGGTGGATCATGAGGTCAGGAGTTTGAGACTAGCCTGACCAACATAGTGAAACCCCATCTCTAATAAAAAATACAAAAATTCACTGGGCATGGTGGCACGTGCCTGTAGTCCCACCTACTCAGGAGGCTGAAGCAGGAGAATCACTTGAACCCAGGAAGTGGAGGTTGTAGTGAGCCAAGATCGCACCACTGCACTCCAGGCTGCGCAACAGAGCGAGACTCTCTTTCAAAAAAATAATAAATACAATTAAAAATTTAAAAAATAATAAAAATACAAAAATTAGCTGGGCGTGGTGGTGTGCACCTGTAGTCCCAGCTACTCAGGAGGCTGAGACAGGAGAATTGCTTGAACCCAGGAGGCGGAGGTTGTGGTGAGCTGAGATTGTGCCACTGTACTCCAGCCTGGGTGACAGAGCAAGACTCTGTCTCAAAAAAAAAAAAAAAAAAGAAAAAAGGTATGATCTAGTAGTAATACATGAGGGAGGGCATGGATTTAGTAAGGCCTGTTTGCTCAGATTCTTCTTGGTGTCCCTATGTGACATTGCTTCCCATCTGGGTATAGGGCAGGACACCTGTCACATGAGGGTCTTCAGGGGAGGAGGGGAGAGGTCACAGACTGACCTTCCTGGCGGCCTGCTTCAGAGAAGAAGGATGAGGGGAAGATGAGGGTGGCCTTCCTGCTTCTGCAGTTTTTTGCATTTCTAAGGTGCCATATTTTGGGGTAGCATTTCCTGTACCCCATCTGTGGCTAGTAGAAAAACCTAAAATTGTGTGTGTGGCTTATAGTATATTTCTTTTGGACACTGCTGCTCTAGAAGGACAGAGCAGAGATGGTGGACTCAGAATCTCAACTTCCTGAGTGACCTCGGGCAAGCTCCCTAACTTTTCAGAGCCTCAGTTTCCTCCTCTGTAGAAATGAGGCAGATTCAGGGAAGTGGCACACAGTAGGTTCTTCAGTCGAAGCCAGCACTATTGAAGAGTACCCTCTGCTCAGGCTGAAGGCAGGCAGCCCACCTGCCCCTTCTCTCCCCTCCTTCCTTCAGTCTGGAACCCCTTCTCCTTCCTGGACAGCCTTCTACCCTGCTCTCAGGAAGCCCTGCCTGACTGTGCTTTCACTCACTGTCACTGTCATCCCCTCCCAGGGTCTGAAGAGCTACTCAGAGCCAACCCTGCACTGGAGACAGGAAGCCGGGCACCTGGATGAGCCTCTGACCCAGAGCCCTGGAGCCCATAGGCTCGTCTGAGAACTAGACACACTCAGTCACTCCAGCTCCACGGGCAGACACCTGCACAGAGGTAAGGGGAAAGCCCCATCTTCTGGGAGGGTGAAGAGTCCACCCCTCCCCTGGGTGCCTCTGAGCTTCCCAGCACCTGTGGGCACAGGCTGGCCCTTAGTCCTCTCAGCCCAGGTGACCAGGTCATACCACACGCTCACAGGGAGACAGGCTGCCAACCACAAATAACTTCTCAAATAATGATTCCATTCTGGCGGTGGTGTATGCTGGGAAGAAAAAGAACAGGATGCTCTGAGAATGTGTGACAGGGAACCTCGCCCGGCCTGGGGCCCTGGGGAGCTTTCCTGAAGAGGGGATGTTTGGCGGGGGGCCTGAGGGAGGTGTCTTATCTAGAAGAAGTGTGGGGAAGGGCGCATTCTGGGTGGGGAGACACTGAAGCTGGGGCAGGCCACACAGGGCAGGAGCCCCAGGAAGCGGTCCAGTCTTAGTGCTGTAGAAAGAGAGGAAAAGGCTCCAAGCAGGGGTGGGTTGCCTTATTAAACAATCACTCTGGTTGCCATGTACAACCAGGATGGACCAGGTGGTACAGGGCAGAAGGGAAGTGGCTCACCCCTCAGGGAGGCTCTGGCAGTGTCTGGGGAGATGATGGGGTAGGAGCAGTGTTGATGGAGAGAAATGCTGGGTTCCCAGTGTGGTCTCGATGTAGGATTGGCAGCACTGGGTCCTGGGACATGGGGGTAGAGGAAAGAGGGAACTCAGGAAATGCCTAGTCGAGGGCTAAGCCAGGTGCACTCAGTGGGGTGCCGTTTTCTGAGATGAGGGTGGTTGGTGGGGAGGATAGGTTTGGGAGAACAATTTTTCAGCCAGCCCTGGACTTGCTGGAGGCAGAAGGGGCCATGGCCTAAATGCTGCCCAAGCAGCCCCTGCTTCAGGGAGGGGCTGGTGCAAGGAGGTACTTCCTGCTACTGAGAAATTCACCAAGGACAAGGGGCCCCTGCTGGCAGGTGGGGAGGAGCTGGAACTCAGCATCCGCATAGCTGCCTGACTCCCAGCAGAATGCTGGCTCTGAAACCAGCTGCCAGCTCACACCCCAGCCCTGCTGGAGGGTGATAAGTCACAGGAGGGACCAGGGCAGTGTCTCGCTTCTCCACCTTCTGAGTCAAGGGTCATAGACTGTTCATCCAGATCGCCACCTTCAGATGTCCACAGGCGGCAGAAGATGGACCAGAAGCATTCTGTGTGGGCCGCAGGGGAACTGGGGAAGAACGGGAGCCAGGCCCCAGCACAAGACAAGGATGGGCTTTGCCGTGGTTACTGCTAATAATATTATTAATAATAATAATAGTTAATATTGCTTAAGAACTTTTACTGGTGCCTTGTATTGGACCAAGCACCTTACTCATGACTCCTTTAATGCCTTCACAACAACCTGGCCTGCTTGGAGACAATGTCCCCATCTTACAGCTGGGCCTCAGTGACTTGCCTGAGGCCAGGAAGGGGCAGGGCTGGGATTCTCTGTATAAAAACGTAATGGCAGTCCTAGTGTTCAATAGATCAGTAGGGTGACTAGTTTATAGTGATCTATTGTACATTTCAAAATAGCTAGAAGAAAATAAATGGAATGTTTCTCTTTTTTTTTTTTTTTTTTTTTTTAAGACAGAGTCTCACTCTGTCACCCAGGCTGGAGTGCAATGGCGCGATCTCGGCTCACTGCAACCTCCACCTCCGGGATCAAGCAGTTCTCCTGTCTCAGCCTCCCAAGTATCTGGGATTATAGGCATCCGCCATCATGTCCGGCTAATTTTTGTATTTTTGTAGAGATGGGGTTTCACCATGTTGGCCAGGCTTGAACTCCTGACCTCAGGTGATCCGCCCGCCTCGGCCTCCCAAAGTGTTGGGATTACAGGCGTGAGCCATTGCGCCTGGCCTCAAAAGTTTCTTAGCATAAAAAAAAAGGCCAGGTGTGGTGGTTCTCACCTGTAATCCCAGCACTTTGAGAGGCCAAGCCTTTCAGAGAGGACTGCTTGAACCCAGAAGTTTGAGACCAGCCTGGGCAACACAGTGAGATCCCGTCTTTACAAAAAATTTTTTAAATTGCCAGCTCAAGATGTTACCCCCCCAAAATAATAAATAATTAGCTAGGTGTAGTGGCACATGCCTGTAGTCCTAGCTACTTGGGAGGCTGAGGCAGGAGGATCACTTTAAGTCCAGGAGGTTGAAGCTACAGTGAGCTGTGAGGGTGCCACTGCACTCCAGCCTGGGTGACAGAGACCATGTCTCAAAAAACAAAACAAGACAAAAAAAGTAAAAAAGAAAAGACAAATTTAAGGTGATGGATATTCTAAGTACACTGATTTGATCTTTACAAATTATATGAATGTATTAAATAATCCTGAAACTATGTACCCTGAAACTATGGACATCTATTATGCATCAGTAAAAACAAAAATTGTTTTAAAAATATATATAATGGGGCTGGGTGCCGTGGCTCACGCCTGTAATCCCAGCACTTTTGGAGGCCAAGGTGGATGGATCACTTGAGGTCAGAAGACCATCCTGGCCAACATGGAGAAACTCTATCTCTACTAAAACTGCAAAAATTAGCCAGGCGTGGTGGCGGGCACCTGTAATCCCAGCTACTCGGGAGGCTGAGGCAGGAGAATTGCTTGAACCCAGGAGGCAGAGGCTGAGGTGGAGGCTGCAGTGAGCTGAGATCACGCCACTGTACTCCAGCCTGAGCAACAGAGCTAGACACCATCTCAAAAAAAAAAAAAAACCAAAAAACATATATATAATGGCTTCTCTGTCACCGCTGGTGACAATAGGTCTTAATGCAAGTTTTCATGTTTTCCTCTCTTGCACTTTAGAAGTCAAGTGCATTTTAAATTTTCTTTGCGATTCTTTTTCTTTTCTCCATTCAATCACTGAGTCATTATTTGCCAGTGAGCATCTACAATGGGCCAGGTCCCTGGCTGGCCGCACTGGGGATACCACAGGGACTAAGGTGGCTCAGAGAGAAGGCCATTCCAGCAGAGAGCAATCACAGCTGAGATGGTGGAAGCCCAGAGGGATTATCTAAGCCAGCATGGAGGGTACTCAGGGAAGCCTTCTTGGAGGAGGTAATATCCAGGAACCCTGGAGGATGAGAGGAGTTAGCCAGGTGATGGGAATTGGACAGGGGAGCATGATTCAGACAGAGGGGACAGATGGGCGAGGATTTAGAAACAAGTGCCTGGTGTGCATGAGCTGCAACTCGTAGCTGATGGTGGTAGGAGGGGAGACTGTGGGGTGGAGGGGAGACTATGGGGTAGAGGGGAGGGGACTGGAGAGAGGTGGGGTGAGGGATGTGTCTGGAGGTGGCTTTTCTTCCACAGGCCACAGGGAGTACCGAGGCACTGTGGCCAGCATGACATGGTCCAATAGAGTTTCGTCCAAATCTCTGGAGCCGAAGTTGTTCAGATTGGAGAGGGCAGGCCTGTGACCCAGCTAGAACCTGCTGCAGTGGTCTAGGCAGGATATGACAGTGGCCTGGTGTGGCCCAACTCTCCCCATCACGCTGTAGCTGTAACTCTCAGTTGTGTGTGCCCTGTTCAAGGGTTCGCTTTGGGAGGAAAGGATGGTAGGCATGTTCTTGTTCATAGCTGTATCCACCCAGCCTTGAGCAGGGGGCCCAACATACACAAGCCCTCAGGAAGGACTTATGGAGTGATGGACTCTGCAGTATGTGCTTGGGGTAGGGGAACTGAGAGGCTGGTAAGGCCACCCAGAACCGGGTCGGAAAGGCCTTGTCACCTGGGGCTGGGAAACAGACTTCTCCCCAGGGTCTGGGGTGAACTTCCGGCCTAGCAGCTCCTGGGCAGATGAGGGTTTCAGGGAGTTTCCTCCTGCAGCAGCCACGTGGCTCTGGCTGGCAGGGCTCTTCTCTGCTCACCCCAGGATCTGTGAGGATGGCGCACCTGCTGGGCAGCCAGGCCTGCATGGAGAGCCTGCGCACAGACCTCACCGACCTGCAGGGTGCCATCGTAGACGTCTTCTCCCGCGCCGGGCCTGTGCGCTTCCCCTCCTGGAAGTTCCCTGACCGCATGGCCTGTGACCTCGACATGGTGGCCCTGCTGGAGCACTATGACCATGTTCCGGGTGACCCCGAGTTCACGCAGCTGTCCCATGCCGTGCTGCTGGAGCTGGTCATCGACAGGTGAGGGCCTTGACCAAGCCTGGTCATCTCAGGATGCCAGCACCTGCCCCTGAAACCAGTGGCAGCTACGGAAGCCCCTCCAGAGGCAGGGGTGATGTTGGAACAACAGTCACCATTGAGTACCTGTCGGGGCCACATCAGCTCAGGACTTTCAAAGTGGTCTTACCTTTTATCATGTGTCTTGTGTTGTGTGCTGTGCTATCCTGTGTTAGGCTCTCCTAGCCTGTCCACCTCAGGCAGTTGATTTCCATTCCATCGGTCTCTGTGGCACCACAGCTGTGACCACGGTCTCTCAGCCTCTCCCAGCTGCCTCCTCAGGGTTTCTATGTTGGGGACCCCATAGTTGCTTCTCAGAGTTTCCATTCCGGGCTCTCTTTCCTGTTGTCCTGTGGGTTGTGCTGTTCCCTCTGCATATCACAAGGCCGGACACGGGATGTGGTTTTCCAAATCCTGACCCGCTGGGAAGAGCCTTGCTGATTCTCCTGCAGCCTCATCACTTCTAAGCTATCATTAAAGTTAACATGGTTGGCCGGGCATGGTGGCTCACGCCTGTAATCTCATCACTTTGGGAGGCCAAGGCGGGTGCATCACTTGAGGTCAGGAGTTCAAGACCAGCCTGGCCAACATAGTGAAACCCTGTCTCTACTAAAAATACAAAAATTAGCTTGGTGTGGTGGTGCATGCCTGTAATTCCAGCTACTCAGGAGGCTGAGGCATGAGAATCGCTTGAATCTGGGAGGCAGAGGTTGCAGTGAACCAAGATCACACCAATGCACTCCAGCCTCGGTAATGGAGTAAGACTTTCTCAAAAAAAAAAAAAAGTGAAAATAAAAATAAAGTTAACATGGTGTGCTTGGCACGGTGGCTGACACTTGTAATCCCAGCATTTTGGGAGGTTAATGGGAGGATCATCTGAGAGTTCAAGACCAGCCTGGGCAACATAAGGAAACCCCATCTGTACAAAAATATTTTAAAAATTAGCTGGGTGTGTTGGTGCATGCCTTTTTTTTTTTTCTTCGGAGTTTTGCTCTTCTTGGAGTGCAGTGGTGTGATCTCAGCTCACTGCAACCTCCACCTCCTGGGTTCAAGAGATTCTCCTGCTTCAGCCTCCAAAGTAGCTGGGATTACAGGTGCCTGCTGTCACGCCTGGCTAGTTTTTTTGGATTTTTAGTGGAGACGGGGTTTCACCATGTTGACCAGGGCTGGTCTCAAACTCCTGACCTCAGGTGATCCATCTTCCTCGGCCTCCCAAAGTGCTGGGATTACAGGCGTGAGCTACTGCACCTGGCTGGTGCGTGCCTATTGTCCCATCTACTTAGGAGGCCGTGGTGGGAGGATTGTTTGAGCCCTGGAGGTCGAGGCTACAGTGAGCCATGATCATGCCACTGCACTCCAGCCTGGGCAACAGAGCAAGCCCCTGTCTCAAAGAAAGAAAAAGCAAAGCTAACATGGTCACCAGCCTTTCACATTCTGGGGACTGTATCCCAGGGTTCTAGCGCTCAAATGCCTTAAAAATGGTCAGGTGCGTTGGCTCACGTCTGTAATCCCAGCACTTTGGGAGGCCGAGGTGGGCGGATCACCTGAGGTCAGTAGTTCGAGACTAGCCTGGCCAACGAACAGGGTGAAACCCCGTCTCTACTAAAAATACAAAAATTAGCCAGGCGTGGTGGTGCCTGCCTGTAGTCCCAGCTACTCTGGAGGCTGAGGCAGGAGAATTGCTTGAACCTAAGAAGCGGAGGTTGCAGTGAGCTGAGATCGTGCCATTGCACTCCAGCCTGGCGACAGAGTGAGACTGTCTCAAAACAAACAAACAAACAAAAAACAACCTTAAAGCCGTGACGGCCAGACAGGTAGCAAAGAATGTGAGAGGGACTCCAGTGGTTTCAGGATGACCTGCCTAGGGACAGAGAAGCCAGGGTTACCACTCTGAGGGCTGGAGGAGCCCTTGGTACAAAAGCACCATCTGTAACCTCTGAGCAGCTGAACGTGTATGAGCACAGAACACACCTTCCTTTCTCCGTAACTTTATGCATTACACTGTCCCTCTGCTAGGAGTGTCCTGCCCATCCATCATGGCCTGGTTTACCCAGCCGCTTCTCTGTGAAGCTGTCTCTGACATGCCCTCTGCCCTACCTGACCCTCTGCCTACCTCTGGCTGAGTTAGAGTGGTGTAGCATTGAGCTGCTCAGTTCGTGGCAAGGGTGGGATCACGGCTGAGGCTGCAGACAGCACCACAGTCTCCCGCTGCGAGGGTCGGTTGGTCTAAGCAGACGGATTGCTCTGCCAAAGCCATGCTCTGTCCTCTTTTCAGATGCTTTCCCGTTCCCCGATGTTGCTTGGCACCATGGCAAGTGCTGTTGTCCCTGTTTGCAGAGGAGGACACCTTGGCCAGAGAGGGGCGGGGCCTTGGAGGCAGTTGGCACCTCTGCCCCCAGGCCCTCTCTGCCCAAGGCCCTACAGGTTTTGGAATGACCCTCCTGCATCTGCAAAAAGCTAAGTTCACTCATCTTCCTGGTATGTGTTGTAAACACAATACTTCTTTAAAACAGCTTGGTTCCCATGCAAATGCAAACTTAGCTTTTTATTATAATACTCCTTTTTCTTACAATTCATGCCTGACTGTAGTTTTAAACTTGGAGGTTAGGACAGAGACCTAGCTGTCTTGACACAGGTCTCCACTGTCACAGAAGCAGCTCACCCTGCAGAAGCCCCTGACTAGCCTCAGGAGACTGTGCACACTCCCTGCTCTGCCCTATCAATGTGTGTCTGTGGGCAAGCTCTTCCCCTCTCTGGGTCTCAGCTCTGTCATCTATCAAGTGGAGGCTCCGGGCCACTGGATATAAGGCAGCCATTCACCCAGAACTTTTCAAGGACTCAGGATACAACTGAGGCAAGGCCAGGCCTGGCTTCACAGAGCTCCCTGGTCCAGTGGAGAAGAGCCAGGCAGAAGTGCCACCCAGGAGACACAGAAGAGGCTCCCAAGCTGAGGCTGTGGCCAGGGAGGGCTTCCCTGAGGAAGTAGCCCCTGGGTTAGGTTTGAAGCTGGCCCAGCAGAGCATATTCTGAGACTCTCCAAGCTCTTGATGCCTGGGCCAGTTCCCCAGAGCCAGAGCTGCGGTTGTATGGTCTGAGGGTATGTTAGCACCAGCCTGGGCCCCAGCAACCTAGCATCTCTGCCCGCAGGCTCCTGCTGCTGCTTCAAAGCTGTATGAGCTACTTGGAGAACCTTGGCTCAGAGCAGATGATGCCCCCTGCACAGGCTGCGGGGCCCTGCATGTCCGTGGGGCTCACGGTGCGGCGCTTCTGGGACAGCCTGCTGAGGCTGGGCACGCTCCACCAGCAGCCACTCCCCCAGGTGGGTCCCAGCCTCTGTCTCAGGTGGGTCAGCCTCAGCCTCTATCTCCCCACTGTGGTGGCCTTCACACCTCGCCCCAGCTCTGGCTTCCTAGCCTACCACTATGTGCACCACAGCCTTTACTGGCTCCCACCGCCCTCCCAATCAAGCCCCACACAGTGTGGCGGTTAAGAACGCAGGCCTTGGGGATCATGCCTTGCTCCCTGGCTCTGACATCCCTGTGGGACTTTGGAAAAATCTTGCCTACTTTGAACCGCAGTTTCTTCATCTATACAACGGAGGTCATGTGACCCCTGTTTGTTATGGGCTATCCCGTAATCCACACAACCACCCACTGGGGAAGAACCACTGTTCCCATGATGGGAAGGAAACTAAAACTGAGAGTGGTTATGGTGACACAAGAGCAGGCAGGTCCAGTAAGCAAGAGCCCAGTAACCAGCAGCTGTGACCGTCACCATCACCTTCCCAACACCATGCATACAATCAGATCAAGCCTGGAGCTTGGGGTGCGGGCCGCAGAGAGGAGACCTGGCTGTAGTAAGCTGAGTCAGAGTAACAGAGGGAGAAAGTTCTCTCTTATTCACGTCGGTGTCAGAGAACATTTGAGGGTCTGAGTGTCAGGCAAGGCTGTCACACTGTCACAGAACATCCCCCAGGGAACCAGTCACCTCCCTCTCTACTCTCTCCCTCACCTGCTTTCCCTTGTCTTTTTCTGAACACAGAAAGGGGCAAACCAAAGGGAGACTCCCACCTCCAAGCCCACCACCAAGGGCGAGCCAGCCAGGAGCCCTGAATATCTGACTACCAAGTTAATCAAGCCCTCCTCCCCAGTGCTAGGCTTGCCCCAGACCTGCCAAGAGCCAGAGAGCATCCCTGTCAGAGCCTCCCTGCAGTTCCCAGCCACGACCTTCAAGAACACCAGGAGTGTCCACTCCCAGACCATTGAGACGGCCCTGGTGCCCTGTGACGCATGCGCCAGCGTCCAGGGAAGCCTGCAGAAGGTGGGCAAGGTGGTCATCAGCCTGTGTCAGAGCCAGAACCTGCCCTCGTCCTTAGGCCAGTTCCAGCAACTGGTGCAGGACAGCATGGGGCTCAGGCCACTGCCGGCTGCCACCGTGGGCCGCTGGGCAGCAGAGCAGAGGAAAGACCTGACGCGCCTCAGTAAGCATGTGGAGGCCCTCAGGGCCCAGCTGGAGGAGGCTGAAGGGCAGAAGGATGGCCTGAGGAAGCAGGCGGGCAAGCTGGAGCAGGCGCTGAAACAGGAGCAGGGGGCACGGCGGCGACAGGCGGAGGAGGATGAGCAGTGCCTGTCTGAGTGGGAGCACGACAAACAGCAGCTGCTCACAGGTCTGTGCCCCAGAGGCCAGACGCCTGGTGCCCAGGGGCTCTGCCACAGCCTTTGCATGGATGTTTGTGAGACAGGGCTTCCAGGGCAAGTGGTTTGTGTGGAAGAACCCAGGCTGGGACACAGGCAAGAGGCAGGGAAGGGAGGGCAGCAAGGAAGGGGGTGTTCATCCGGTGGTGACACTGTGATCTCAGTCCCACTGGGGCCACCAGGAGCTGGGCTAGGACGCTTGCCCAGACTCGTCCATCGGTCAGTGAGGGAACCGAGGTATGTATCCACTTGCACTGTCAGTCATTGAGGGCTACTTCCAGAGAGTTATTCCCCTGGCACTTCCAGCCAAGCAGAGCAGCCTCTCTGGTTGTGGCAAAAGCCATTAGAGACAAAGTTCCTGGCACCAGAAGATGGCCAGTGCCCACTGATGGGAGGCCTGAGGGATTTGCCCTTTCTGAGCCTCATCACAGTTGCCTCCATGGACGACACCAAGGCCCAGAGAGGTGTAGACACATGGCAGCCAGCCCATGAGAAGCAGGGTGGGTAAGGGCCCAGCCGCTTCCACCAGCCTCCCTAGAGCTCCTCCCATGGCCGCAGGCGGCCCCTCTGCAGGCGATGGGCTGCCTCCACTCCACGGGGCACACTGGGCATGAAGGCCGCCGGCCAGGTCCATGGGACCCTCTGAAGGGCCTCTCTCTTGGCTGCCATAGAAACAAGTGACCTAAAGACAAAGATGGCCACCCTGGAGAGAGAACTGAAACAGCAGCGGGAGTCCACACAGGCTGTGGGTAAGGAGCCCCATCATAGGCCCCCATGCCACATCTCAAGCCAGGGGTGTGGCTGGATGAGCATCGTCCATCTCTGTCCCCTGAGCATCCAGGGCAAAGTTGAAGGGAACCAGCCACAGGAGGGTGGGCCTGACCAACCACACTATTGGCGATGACCAAACTGGGTTGCCACCTCCTACCGAGAAAGCGCCTTCTATTTTCCAAACCCACCTCAGGTGGGGTCTAGAGCCCCATTTTGTGGCTGAGGACTCTGAGGCCCAGAGATGGGATGTGAGCTCCCGTCCTAGGTCTGAGGTAGTACAGCGCTCCCCTGCCCTACCCCATCCCATGTCCACTTAATGCTGCAGAGGCAAAGGCCCAGCAGCTGCAGGAGGAAGGTGAGCGCAGGGCGGCAGCGGAGAGGCAGGTGCAGCAGCTGGAGGAGCAGGTGCAGCAGTTGGAGGCGCAGGTGCAGCTGTTGGTGGGTCGGCTGGAGGGCGCTGGCCAGCAGGTCTGCTGGGCCAGCACGGAGCTGGATAAGGAGAAGGCCCGTGTCGACAGCATGGTCCGCCACCAGGAGGTGAGGCCAGGGCCCTCGCTAGCCTGGGCATCTGCAATGTAGGCTGCAGGGAAAGAGGGCTCCACTGTCAGGGAATGGGGGATCATCTATATTGGGCATCTGCTCCCTGAGATGCCTCCAGGTGTGGGGGTTGACTCACCTTTACAGAGAGTCTACCCTGAACCAGGCACTGGGGGAACAGTGACCCAGGGACTGATACTGCCCAGTGAGGCCTCACTCTGGAAGAGCGCCCCACAGGCAAAGATGAGCAGGTGTGCCACACTCTCCTGCCAGATGGCTAAGGGGTGCAGGGAGGGATGGCCACATCTGCCATGGGAATCCAGAATGGCTTCTAGGAGGAGGTGGCCTTTGAGCTGGACGCCCATGACAGGCAATTAGTCCATCAGCCAGGGGAAGGACAGGGCAGGCAGAGGGTGAGCCAGGGCCCGGGGCATAGCTGTGCTCTGGGCAATGGGGCCTCACAGGAGTCCTCAGAAGTGTGGTTGAGGGAGTAGGTGACCTGTTGCCTAGTGAAAGGGGCAGGTCTGGGGGCTGTCTTGGCTGGGTCTAACCCTCAAAAGCTCAGCAAGGAGCCAGGAGTTCAGTTGAGAGTCCCCAGGGTCAGACATGGGCCCAGGGTAGGGGAAGCCTTTCTACCCCAAGTGGGTGCTGTTCTCTGTGCCTTGCAAACTGTCACAGCCGCCATGTATCAGGTGTCTGCTGTGACCCAGGCTTCAGGCGCCGCAGCCTCTGATGCTTACTCCTCGCTACAGCAACAGGAGGTAGATACTCTTGTCACCCCCATTTTACGAATGAGGAAACAGCCTTATTGAGTGAGGTTAAGGAAGTTGCCCAAGGCCACACAGCTAGTGAGAGGTGGAGCCAGGACTCCGAGCAGTCCAGCGTTAGTTCTTCCTGCTTTCCATTCAGTGGGTGTTAGGAAATGTGGGCTTCAGCAACATGGGATGATGTGACACTGGAGACCCGAGGAGAAGAAAAACTTAGTTCCCAGAATTCCTCTCCAAGTGGGGTCTGTGTATGACTGGAAGGAAGTGGGGGTGAGACCCCCAGAGCCAGCCATCTGCGTTCCAAGGGCCGGGGTCTTCAAGCTGGGATCCTGGCCTTGACCAGGTCCGGTGTGCATCTGCCTGCTGCCAGCTTCCCCCGACCCCTACCCTTCCACGCATGTGACCAGCATTCCCTAGACACAGACACACACCCCAGGGGGGTAGCAGCCGAGGGGTAGTAGATGCTGTAGCCTCCTTAGTTCCACATGGCTGGGCCTAGCCCTGTGGGTCTCACAGCCTCCCTGCTTGTCCGTTCCTGCTTAGTCTCTGCAGGCCAAGCAGCGAGCCCTGCTAAAGCAGCTGGACAGCCTGGACCAGGAACGTGAGGAGCTGCGGGGCAGCCTGGACGAGGCTGAGGCCCAGCGGGCCCGCGTGGAGGAGCAGCTGCAGAGCGAGCGGGAGCAGGGGCAATGCCAGCTCAGGGCCCAGCAGGTGAGGGTGGGGGTCTTCCTTTTTGCCAGAGAAGTCTCCGGCCAACTGAGTGCCTGCAGGCCTGTCCCATGTCTTTTCTTGGGTAGGGACGGTGCCCCAGGGCGCTGAGTACCATGTAGCTCACTCAGGAGCCAGGCCTGAGCCTCCGTCTGTCCCAGGAGCTGCTGCAGAGCCTGCAGAGGGAGAAGCAAGGCCTGGAGCAGGCGACTACGGACCTGCGGCTAACCATCCTGGAGCTAGAACGGGAGCTGGAGGAGCTGAAGGAGCGGGAGCGGCTGCTGGTGGCCTTCCCAGACCTGCACAGGCCCACCGAGACCCAGATCCATGGTAGGGGACTGGGGATGGTGCCAAGGGCATGCTGGGGCTCAGGGCCAGCAGCTGAGGGCTCGTGTGGGCAGGACACTGGGGACTGCAGCTCCCTAGCCTGCAGCAAGGGTGTTAAAGCCAGGCGGCCAGCAGCGCAGCCCCTGTGGACCCACCACAGCACGCAAGTGCTTCATGCGTCATCCACTCTGCATAGACAGGGACGTGAAAGCCCAACAGTGATGTGACTGCCTCTAGTCACAACAGCCAAACGCAGACACAGGTCTGGTTGTCCCCACAGCCTGTGCTCTTCACTACGTCACATGCTAATTCTTGCTCGACTTCTGTGTGTCCCCCTTCTTGGTTCTTGGAATGGGTCCCCAAACCACACCATGGGACTAGTCCCAAGGACACAGCCTCCAGCTGCCCACTGTCCTGGACCCCATGGCATAGGAGTGCTAGGTACCCATCTTGGCACAGGATTGGATATCAGGTGACCTGGGTTCTCCCAGCCCCTCCAGACCCCTAAAGCACTAGGGCAAATCCTTTTGCAGAGCTGGCAGGAAGATGTGCAGTTAGCTGCTCGTGAGACATCATCCAGGCCCTTCTGTCCCCTTCTCAACCACCTTGTGAGGCAGGTCATAGCCCCATAGCTATTTCCCATAGCAGGAAACTGAACCAGAAGGGGCAGCAATTCTCCCGGGCTCCTGGAGCCAGAAGGAAGCATCCATCACAAAAGCAGGGGAAGAGCAGCCTGGCGGAATTCCTGCCGTTCCCAAGCTTGAGCTGGCCGTGTGACCTTGGACAGCTCACTTTGGCTGTAGCCTGTCCAAAACGGGGGGGCCTTGTCAGAGATTCACTCTCCTCTCATGCTTATTTGCTAAGTCTTTTTTTTTTTTTTTTTTTTTTTGAGACAGAGTCTCACTCTGTTGCCAGGCTGGAGTGCAGTGGCACAATCTCTGCTCACTGCAACCTCCACCTCCTGGGTTCAAGTGATTCTCCTGCCTCAGCCTCCTGAGTAGCTGGGACTACGGGGGCCCGCCACCACACCCAGCTCATTTTTCTATTTTTAGTAGAGACGGGGTTTCACCATGTTGGCCAGGATGGTCTTGATCTCTTGACTTAATGATCCCCTGACCTGGGCCTCCCAAAGTGCTGGGATTACAGGCGTGAGCCACCGCGCCCGGCCTTGCTAAGTCTTTTGAGAGCTCTAGGTCCCACCCAGCTCTCAGATTTTATAATACTATGGTCATCTTCCCTGCAGGTTGGGGGACAGGGAAGGGGGAATAAGGCCTCGGGAGAAGGAAGATGAGCTAGGAGGCCTGGTGCACTACACAGCTCCTTTGTGCCTCCAGGCCACCTGCCCAAGCTGGTGTGCCTCCCTTCTAAGGTCCTGTCCCATTGGGCACAGGAGGCAGATCCAGCAGCGTGGAATCCCAGATAACATGTCCCACAGACTCTGGCAACGTCACAGATCACATGGAGAGGCAAGTGCAGTCCAACGACATCCGCATCCGGGTCCTACAGGAGGAGAACGGGCGGCTCCAATCAATGCTGTCCAAAATCCGGGAAGTGGCCCAGCAGGGTGGCCTCAAGGTGGGCCTGAGAGGGCGGGCCCTTGGGGACCAGGAGGAAGCCCCTATCCAGCAGCAGGTCTTCAGACTCTGCCCCGGGAACTTGTGGAGAGCCCACCTCATCACATGAGGCCTTAGGCTGTGCTTTTGTGAAACATTTTTCACATTTCCAGAAGGCGTGAGGATGTTATGGATCCGATGCCTTCCAGTCCCATATGCCCTCTATAGCTGTCATTCCTTTAAGTGCAGCAAGAAGCCTCGTCAGGCCGGGTGCGGCGGCTCATGCCTGTAATCCCAACAATTTGAGAGGCTGAGGCGGGCAGATCACTCGAGCCCAGGAGTTTGAGACCAGCCTGGACAATATAATGGGACCCCGTTTCTACAAAAAAAAAAAGAAGCCATGTCAGAAAGAAACCTCCCCACACTTGCTGCCTGCCCAAGGCTCTGCAGCTGAGAATAGGCCCTGGAAGGCTTCCTAGGCCCTGCCCCTAGGTGAAAGGGCCCATGGATATGCGCCCGGCCCTTCCCTCCCCATCCCTGGCTACGACACCCTCTCTGTACAGTGGGGAGGGGACTCCTGGGCCCTTAT